>NC_000002.12:31797878-31950628 GCF_000001405.40 Homo sapiens
CAGACAGTTCAACGAGACAGAAAGTCAACAAGGATATCCAGGAATTGAACTCAGCTCTGCACCAGGCGGACCTAATAGACATCTACAGAACTCTCCATCCCAAATCAAAAGAATATACATTCTTCTCAGCACCACATCGCACTTATTCCAAAATTGACCTCATAGTTGGAAGTAAAGCACTCCTCAGCAAATGTAAAAGAACAGAAATTATAACAAACTGTCTCTCAGGCCACGGTGCAATCAAACTAGAACTCAGGATTAAGAAACTCACTCAAAACCACTCAACTACATGGAAACTGAGCAACCTGCTCCTGAATGACTACTGGGTATATAACGAAATGAAGGCAGAAATAAAGATGTTCTTTAAAACCAGTGAGAACAAAGACACAACATACCAGAATCTCTGGGACACATTTAAAGCAGTGTGTAGAGGGAAATTTAGAGCACTAAATGCCCACAAGAGAAAGCACGAAATATTTAAATTGACACCTTAACATCACAATTAAAAGAACTAGAGAAGCAAGAGCAAACACATTCAAAAGCTAGCAGAAGGTGAGAAATAACTAAGAGCAGAGCAGAACTGAAGGAGATAGAGACACAAAAATCCCTTCAAAAAATCAATGAATCCAGGAGCTGGTTTTCGGAAAAGATCAACAAAATTGATAGACCGCTAGCAAGACTAATAAAGAAGAAAAGAGAGAAGAACCAAATAGACGCAATAAGAAATGATAAAGGGGACATCACCACCGATCCCACAGAAATACAAACTACCATAAGAGAATACTATAAACACCTCTACATAAATAAACTAGAAAATCTAAAAGAAATGGATAAATTCTTGGACACATACACCCTCCCAAGACTAAACCAGGAAGAAGTTGAATCCCTGAATAGACCAATAACAGGCTCTGAAATTGAGGCAATAATTAATAGCTTACCAACCAAAAAAAGTCCAGGACCAGATGGATTCACAGCCGAATTCTACTAGAGGTAAAAGGAGGAGCTGCTACCATTCCTTCTGAAACTATTCCAATCAATAGAAAAAAGAGGGAATCCTCCCTAACTCATTTTATGAGGCCAGCATCAAAAAAGACTGACAGAGACACAACAAAAAGAAAGAGAATTTTAGATGAATATCCCTGATGAATATCGATGCAAAAATCATCAATAAAATACTGGCAAACCGAATCCAGCAGCACATCAAAAAGCTTATCCACCATGATCAAGTGGGCTTCATCCTTGGGATGCAAGGCTGGTTCAACATACTCAAATCAATAAACATAGTCCAGCATATAAACAGAACCAAAGACAAAAACCACATGATTATCTCAATAAATGCAGAGAAGGCCTTCAACAAAATTCAACAGCCCTTCATGCTAAAAACTCTCAATAAATTCGGTATTGACGGGACATATCTCAAAATAATAAGAGCTATATATGACAAACCGACAGCCAATATCATACTGAATGGGCAAAAACTGGAAGCATTCCCTTTGAAAACTGGCACAAGACAGGGATGCCCTCTCTCACCACTCCTATTCAACATAGAGTTGGAAGTTCTGCCCAGGGCAATCAGTCAGGAGAAAGAAATAAACGGTATTCAGTTAAGAAAAGAGGAAGTCAAATTGTCCCTCTTTGCAGATTACATGATTGTATATTTAGAAAACCCCATCGTCTCAACCCAAAATCTCCTTAAGCTGATAAGCAACTTCAGCAAAGTCTCAGGATACAAAATCAATGTGCAAAAATCACAAGCATTCTTATACACCAATAACAGACAAACAGAGAGCCAAATCATGAGTGAACTCCCATTCACAATTGCTTCCAAGAGAATAAAATACCTAGGAATCCAACTTACAAAGGATGTGAAGGACCTCTTCAAGGAGAATTACAAACCACTGCTCAACGAAACAAAAGAGGATACAAACAAATGGAAGAACATTCCATGCTCATGGATAGGAAGAATCAATATGGTGAAAATGGCCATACTGCCCAAGGTAATGTATAGATTCAATGCTATCCCTATCAAGCTACCAATGACTTTCTTCACAGAATTGGAAAAAACCACTTTAAAGTTCATATGGAACCAGAAAAGAGCCCACATTACCAAGACAAGCCTAAGCAAAAGGAACAAAGCTGGAGGCATCACACTACCTGACTTCAAACTACACTACAAGGCTATAGTAACCAAAACAGCATGGTACTGGTAGCAAAACAGAGATATAGACCAATGGAGCAGAACAGAGCCCTCAGAAATAATACCACACATCTACAACCATCTGATCTTTGACAAACCTGACAAAAACAATAAATGGGGAAAGGATTCCCTATTTAATAAATGGTGTTGGGAAAACTGGCTAGCCATATGTAGAAAGCTGAAATTGGATCCCTTCCTTACACTTTATACAAAAATTAATTCAAGATGGACTAAAGACTTAAATGTCAGACCTAAAACAATAAAAACCCTAGAAGAAAACCTAGGGAATACCATTCAGGACATAGGCATGGGCAAGGACTTTCTGTCTAAAACACCAAAAGCAATGGCAACAGAAGCCAAAATTGACAAATGGGATATAATTAAACTAAAGAGCTTCTACACAGCAAAAGAAATTACTATTGGAGTGAACAGGCAACCTATGGAATGGAAGAAAATCTGACAAAGGGTTAATATCCAGAATCTACTAAGAACTCAAACAAATTTACAAGAAAAAAACAACCCCATCAAAAAGTAGGCAAAGGATATGAACAGACACTTCTCAAAAGAAGACATTTATGCAGCCAAAAGACACATGAAAAAATGTTCATCATCACTGGCCATCAGAGGAATGCAAATCAAAACCACAATGAGATACCATCTCACACCAGTTAGAATGGCAATCATTAAAAAGTCAGGAAACAACAGGTGCTGGAGAGGATGTGGAGAAATAGGAACACTTTTACACTGTTGGTGGGACTGTAAACTAGTTCAACCATTGTGGAAGACAGTGTGGCGATTCCTCAAGGATCTAGAACTAGAAATACCATTTGACCCAGCAATCCCATTACTGGGTATATACCCAAAGGATTATAAATCATGCTGTTATAAAGACACATGCACACGTATGTTCACTGCAGCACTATTCACAATAGCAAAGACTTGGAACCAACCCAAATGTCCATCAATGATAGACTGGATTAAGAAAATGTGGCACATATACACCATGGAATACTATGCAGCCATAAAAAAGGATGAGTTCATGTCCTTTGTAGGGACATGGATGAAGCTGGAAACCATCATTCTCAGCAAACTATCGCAAGGACAAAAAACCAAACACCGCATGTTCTCACTCATAGGTGGGAAATGAACAATGAGAACACTTGGACACAGGAATGGGAACATCACACACTGGGGCCTGTCATGGGGTAGGCGGAGCGGGGAGGGATAGCATTAGGAGATATACCTAGCGTAAATGACGAGTTAATGGGTGCACCACACCAACATGGCACATGTATACATAAGTAACAAACCTGCACGTTGTGCACATGTACCCTAGAACTTAAAGTATAATTTTAAAAAAAGAAAGAAAGAAAGAAAAGAAATGAAATAAGGCCGGGCACGGTGGCTCATGCCTGTAATCCCAGCTCTTTGGGAGGCCAAGGAGGGCAGATCACTTAAGGTCAGGAGTTTGAGACCAGCCTGGACAACATGGTGAAACTCCATCTCCATAAAAATACAAAAATTAGCAAGGTGTGGTTGCGTGCACCTGTAATCTTAGCTGCTCAGGAGGCTGAGGCTGGAGAATCACTTGAACCCAGGAGGTGGAGGCTACAGTGAGCCAAGGCGAGATTGTGCCACTGCACTCCAGCCTGGGCAACAGAGCCAGATTCCATCTCAAAAATAAAATTTCAAAAAAAGGAAATGAAATAAGACAACTGAGTTTGTTTTGTGCATCATTTCCACTGTTCTAGTAAGAATAAAATGTGTATCCATGTAGGAGCCACAAAAATAGGAACTATAGTTTTGGTGATTCCACATATTAGTTAAATGCTCTTATGTTTGCATGTAAAACAGGCATTATACAATATCAAAATGAATAATAAAATACATGCTAATAATTTAAATTTTCAATTTTTCTTTACCTATAAAGATATTAAATAGCAAATTAAAACCATCATAAGAGGTCAACAAAAAGACTGAAAGAAAGTAAAAAGACAGTTATATTTTTGTCCTTTAGTGATACTTTTTCCTACTTTTTGAATAACAATTCTGCATTTTCATTTTGAACTGTGTCCCACAACTTCCACAGCTTGCCCTTACTGGTAATTGCCTATCTAACAACTGTCTCTCACTTTCTTCTTCCTAAGAGAACCTCATTTTTATTCACTTTCCTTTTCCAAGGGACCATCTGCTTCAGGTGTGGTGATCTTTAGCCTCAGTTCCAGCCCCAGGCGATGTTTTCTCACTGGTGAAACCCAATTATCTGGTCCCTTCCCTACTGCTACCTAACCAGCATGACTTATCTCCCTTTCCCATTGCACTTTTATCCCAATAATATTTATCACCACTTTAGTCATTTGGTTCTTTTTTATCTCTTCCCATAGAATATAAGCTGTATGATTTTTACCTGTTTTGCCATCTGAGGTTTCCTAGCTCTAGTGACACATAATAGACATTCAATAAATATATGAAGAGTGAACAAATGAATTAATTCTTCTTGCCAATGCTTGGATTAGGACAAAAAGACATGAAGTGTGACATGGCTTCTGTGAAAGGTTTTAGTTACTGGTTTTAAAAAATGCAAGAAAAGTGACATTCACTCTGTTTCCACTGGATATTGTCATATCTCACTGAGGCCTGGATCTTCAGTAGCCTCTTACAACCACAAAGGGAGCAAACAGAAAAAAAAAGAGAGAGAGAGATCAAGTCAACATGCTGAAAATAGCAGAGTGGAAGATTAAAACAAAACTGGCCCTTGATAACATCTTTGAGTCACTGAATTAACTGACCCCGGAGCCACTCTATCTTGGGACTTCTTGTTATGTGAGGTAATACATTTCTTTACTGTTTCCAACTACCTTGAATACTTACAGTTGAAAACATTCTGATACAACTATCCCTCTCCCTGTTGCATTTGAAAAGATTCTTCAGGCCAGGCGCGGTGCCTCAGGCCTGTAATCCCAGCACTTTGGGAGGCAGAAGCAGGCGGATCACCGGAGGTGGAGACCAGCCTGGCCAATATGGCGAAACCCCGTCTCTACTAAAAATAGAAAAAAAAAAGTATCCAGGCATGGTGGTGGGCGCCTATAATCCCAGCTACTTGGGAGGCTGAGGCAGGAGAATTGGTTGAACCTGGGAGGCGGAGGTGGCAGTTAGCCAAGATGGCGCCACTGTACTCCAACCTGGGCGGCAGAGTGAGACTCCATCTCAATTTAAAAAAAAAAAAAAAAAAAAAAAAAGGCCAGATGCAGTGGCTCACACCTGTAATCCCAGCACTTTGGGAGGCCGAGGCGGGTGGATCACCTGAGGTCAGGAGTTTGAGACCAGCCTGGCCAACATGGTGAAACCCTGTCTCTACTAAAAATACAAAAATTAGCTGGGCACAGTGGCGCATGCCTGTAGCCTCAGCTGAGGCGGGAGAATCGCTTGAACCTGGGAGGCAAAGGTTGCGGTAAGCCAAGATCATGCTGACAGCGTGCTGGCAGTCCTCACAGCCCTCGCTCGCTCTGGGCGCCTCCTCTGCCTGGGCTTCCACTTTGGCGACATTTGAGGAGACCTTCAGCCCACCGCTGCACTGTGGGAGCCCCTTTCTGTGCTGGCCAAGGCCGGAGCCGGTTCCCTCAGCTTGCAGGGAGGTGTGGAGGGAGAGGCGCGAGCGGGAACTGGGGCTGCCTGCAGCGCTTGCGGGCCAGCTGGAGTTCCGGGTGGGCGTGGGCTTGGCGGGCCCCGCGCTCGGAGCAGCCTGCCGGCCCTGCCGGCCTTAGCACCCGGGCCAGCGGCTGCGGAGGGTGTACTGGGTCCCCCAGCTGTGCCAGCCCACCGGCGCTGCGCTCGATTTCTCGCCAGGCCTTAGCTGCCTTCCCGCGGGGCAGGGCTCGGGACCTGCTCCATGGCGCCCCCTGCTCCACGGTGCCCAGTCCCATCGACCACCCAAGGGCTGAGGAGTGCGGGCGCACAGCGCCAGACTGGCAGGCAGCTCCACCTGCAGCCCCGGGCGGGATCCACTGGGTGAAGCCAGCTGGGCTCCTGAGTCTGGTGGGGACGTGGAGAACATTTATGTCTAGCTCAGGGATTGTAAATGCACCAATGGGCACTCTGTATCTAGCTCAAGGTTTGTAAACACACCAATCAGCACCCTGTGTCTAGCTCAGGGTTTGTGAATGCACCAACCCACACTCTGTATCTAGCTACTCTGGTGGGGCCTTGGAGAACCTTTGTGTTGACACTCTGTATCTAGCTAATCTAGTGGGGACGTGGAGAACCTTTCTGTCTAGCTCAGGGATTGTAAAGGCACCAATCAGCGCCCTGTCAAAACAGACCACTGGGCTCTACCAATCAGCAGGAGGTGGGTGGGGCCAGATAAGAGAATAAAAGCAGGCTGCCCCAGCCAGAAGTGGCAACCAGCTCGGGTCTGCTTCCACGTTGTGGAAGCTTTGTTCTTTCACTCTTTGCAATAAATCTTGCTACTGCTCACTCTTTGGGTCCACACTGCTTTTATGAGCTGTAACACTCACTGCGAAGGTCTGCAGCTTCACTCCTGAAGCCAGCGAGACCACGAGCCCACCGCGAGGAACAGCTCCAGACGCACCGCCTTAAGAGCTGTAACACTCACTGCCAAGGTCTGCAGTTTCACTCCTGAGCCAGCGAGACCACGAACCCACGAGAAGGAAGAAACTCCGAACACACCTGAACATCAGAAGGAACAAACTCCAGACGCGCCACCTTAAGAGCTGTAACACTCACTGCGAGGGTCCGCAGCTTCATTCTTGAAGTCAGTGAGACCAAGAACCCATCAATTCTGGACACAATGCCTGGGAGACAGAGCACTGTCTCAAAAAAAAAAAAAAAAAAAAAAAAAAAAAAAGACAAACCAAGTCAGTTGTGGACTGCCACAACTGGTAGCTCCTTTAACCCTAATGGTAGCTCCTTTAACCCATCAAAGAATGAGGCTTCTTCTACCTGTCTTTGTTCAGCCACCCCTGGCTTGTTGTTCTTTGCAACATGCCCACAAGATTACTGCTGTATTTACAAACATCACATCCACAGTGCAATCAAGAGGGAGTAGGAAGAGTGAAGGGCAAACTTATATGTTAGTTGAGCCTATCCCTTGTTTTTAGGAAAATAACAGATTTTCTAGGTCTTGCACTCAGCAAACTTCTGTCTATATTTTTTCATTGCCAGACCTGGGACACATGGCCATCACTAGCTTCAAGGATGTCTACAGAGGTCAGCATTTTAAGCTACTATTGCCATCCCAGACACGGAATGGTTTCTCCCTCAGAGCCTCCAGAAGGAACCAAACTTGTTGGCACCTGGGTTTCAGACTTCTAGACTATGAAAAAGTAGATTTCTATTGTTTTAAGCCACTCATTTTGTAGTACTTGTCATGGCAGCCCTAGGATACAACCCAGAAGAAAAAGAGAGTGGGAGAAAGTACCAGGGCCATCTAGCTGGGGCTTGCTAGAGATGACAGCTAGGCCTTTGGGCAAGGTTGAATTATCTCGAAGGGAAAAATAAAAACTTTTTTTAAAGAAATGGGTTATTGATACACTGACCTTTGAGATCTTCCACACTGGCTTTCTTTTCTGTGTGAGCAAAGACTCAAAAGCACAAAAGAGGTTGGCATAGTGGAAGGGAGAGGAATGCGTGTGTGTGTGTGTGTGTGCATGCGCCTGTGTGTATGCATGTGCCTGTGTGTGCATGTGCCTGTGTGTGTGCGTGTGTGTGCATGTGCCTGTGTGTGCGCGTGTGTGTGCATGTGCCTGTGTGTGTGCATGTGCCTGTGTGTGTGTGCGTGTGTGTGCATGTGCCTGTGTGTGCGTGTGTGCATGTGCCTGTGTGTGTGTGCGTGTATGTGTGCATGTGCCTGTGTGCGTGTGTGTGCATGTGCCTGTGTGTGTGTACGTGCCTGTGTGTGTGCACGCACGTGTGTGTGCATGTGCCAGTGTGTGTGCGCACGCGCGTGTGTGTGTGTATGTTTGGGACAGGTTTTTAGTAGGGTTGGTGCTACAGCATACACTTTTGAAGAGCAGGGAGGAACAGAAGAAATGAGACCAGAAAAGCAGGTCAAGGTGGGATCGGGGTTGCACCAGCCTGAGAGTGAGGAGTCAGCAGAGCCAGCAGAGATGCAGTCAGGGAGTGGAGATGCAGGGGGCAGCCATGACCCCTGTTGCTTGACTGAAAAAGCACTATTTGTTTAAGTCTGAAAAATTTCAAAGTAGAATACAAAGTAGTTCGGAGCTCTTTTTAAAAATTCAATGTAATATTTAAATACATAACACTTTCAAAAAATAATAAATAATAAATTCTCCTTCTTCTACCCCATTTCCCATCTATCCACTTGTACCATACAGTCCTCACCGTTGCAGGTAAGCCACTACTATTAATTTCCTGTGTATCCTTCTGCATAAAAGAGCAAATGCAAATATACAATCTTATTTTTCTCCCATTTTATACAAATAGAAAAATGTTATTTATGCACTCTTTCTTTGCTCAATTAACAATGTAACTTAGTGACATTTCCATATCTATGTAGAGTCTTGACATTCTTTTTTGTAGCTGCCAAAATACATTCCATTTGATAATATATTTCCAATCCTTTGTTCCTATGCCATTTCACATGGGTACAAGTAAACTTGTATTAAGTGTTTATTAGAAGTGAAATTTTCAGGAGCTCTTTATATATTTAGGAAAATTAATCCTTTCTGATATGACTTGCAACAATTTTTCCCAAGTATCATTTGTCTCTAAGCCTTACTTGTCGTGGAATTTGCTTGCATTTTCAAAAATAATTGAATTTATCAATCTTTTATGGCTTCTAGGTTTCTAGTCATAATAAAAAGTCATTCTCCACTCCAAAGTTACAAAGGACTTTCCTCAACTTTTTATTTTAGCATTTACTGGCTTTATTTTTTTTTAGCATCTAAATCTTTTGCCTGTGGATATCCAGTTTCCCCAACACCATTAGTTGAAGAACTATTATTTCCCCCAGTTGAATTGTCTTGGCCTCTTTTTCAAAGGTCAATTGAGCATAAAAGTTAGGGTCAATTCTACCCAGCCATCCCATTACTGGGCATCTACCCAAAGGATTATAAATCATGCTGTTATAAAGACACATGCACACGTATGTTCACTGCAGCACTATTCACAATAGCAAAGACTTAGAACCAACCCAAATGTCCATCAATGATAGACAGGATTAAGAAAATGTGGCACATATACACCATGCAATACTATGCAGCCATAAAAAAGGATGAGTTCATGTCCTTTATGGGGACATAGATGAAGCTAGAAACCATCATTCTCAGCAAACTATCGCAAGGACAAAAAACCAAACACCACATGTTCTCACTCATAGGTGGGAATTGAACAATGAGAACACTTGGACACAGGGTGGGGAACATCACACACTGGGGCCTGCCAGGGGGTGGGTGGAGGGGGGAGGGATAGCATTAGGAGATATACCTAATGTAAATGACGAGTTAATGGGTGCAGCACACCAACATGGCAGATGTATACATATGTAACAAACCTGCACGTTGTGCACATGTACCCTAGAACTTAAAATAATAATAATAAAAAAATACGTGTTAACTTCACACCACAAAGCCTGGTATATATAGGGGTGGGATAGGGCATATTATTGTCTTTAAGTTTTCTAGTGTCAAATAAAAAAAAATGCCATTACTAATAAAATTCTCAGTGTCACATTCATTGCTAACAAAATTCTCAGTGTCACATAAGTTAAAAAAAAAGTTATGGTCAATTCTAAATTCTATTTCATTGATCTCAATGTCTATTTTTATAGCAGTACTGTCTTAATTACTACAGCTTTGTAGTAAGTTTTGAAATTGCAAGTGTGAGTACTCCAATTGTATCATTCTTCTCAAGATTGTTTTGGCTATTCTACGTTCCTTGCATTTCCACATGAATTTAAAGATCAGCTTGTCAATTTCTGGGATTTTGATAGAGGTTGCACTGAATCCATAGATCAACTTAGGGAGTACTGATATTTTAATATATTGTCTTCCAATACATGAACATAGAATGTCTTTCCATTTATTCAGATCTTTCATTTCTTTCAACAAAGTTTTGTAGTTTTTAGTAAACAAGTCTTACAATTCTTGTTAAAATTATTCCTAAGTATTTTATCCTTTTTGATGCTATATAAAAGAAATTGTTCTTGAATTTCATTTTCAGATTGTTTGTTGCTAATGTATTGAAATGCAATTGATTTATTATATTGATCTTGCATCCTGCAATGTTGCTGAAATTATTTATTGGTCCTAATAGGTCTTTAGTGGATTATTTTAGATTTTCTATAGACATGATCATGACATTTGCAATGTTATTACTTTTGTAAAGTAAAACTAGAGATAGTTTTACTTCTTCCTTTCCAGTCCAAATGTCTTTTCTTTTCCTTTTTTTTTTTTTTTTGCCTAATTAACCTTGGCTAGAACCTCTACTACAAAGTTAAATAGAAGTCATGAGAGTGGACATCTTTGTTTTGTTCCTGATCTTAGAGGGAAAGTAAGCACTCTCACTATTAAATGTAGCATTAACTGTAGGTCTTTCATAGATGCCCTTTGACAAATTGGAAGAATTTCCCTTCTATCTGTAGTATTTTTATCTTGAGAGGTACTGGATTTTATTGAATGCTCTTTCTGCATCTATTGAAATGATCATGTGATTTTGTCCTTTTTTTCTATTAATGTGATATATGACATTAATTGATTTTCAAACGTTAAGCCAATCTTGCTTTCGTGGGATAAATCCCTGTTGATTATGGTGTAGAATTCTCTTTTGTTTGCTAGTATTTTGTTGAGGATTATGTTTGCATCTACATTCCTAATGGATACTGACCTGTAGTTTTCTTCTCTTGTGATATCTTTGGCTTGGGTATCAGGATAATACTGGCCTCAGAGGATGGGCAAGGAAGTGTTTTTTTTTTCATTTACTTTCAGGAACAGTTTGTGAATTGACTTCTAACAGGTCTGATATTAAGATTAGAATCCTCATTTGGCTTATGTTTGAATTGCCTGGTATGCTTTTGCACATTCTTTTATTTCTAACCATTTTGAAACCATTTATTTTAAAAGTGTTTGTTGGCGGGGCGTGGTGGCTTATGCCCATAATCCCAGTACATTGAGAGGCCAAGGTAGGCAGATTACTTGAGGCCAGGAGTTTGAGACCAGCCTGGCCAACAAGGCAAAACCCCATCTCTACTAATAATACAAAAATTAGGTTGGGCGTGGTGGCTCACGCCTGTAATCCCAACATTTTGGGAGGCCCAGGCAGGCAGATCACTAGAGCCCAGAAGTTCAAGACCAGCCTGGCCAACATGGCAAAACCCCATCTCTACTAAAAATACAAAAGTTATTGTACTTTTTTTTTTTGTATTGTACTGGGCCTGGTGGCACAAGCCTGTAGTCCCAGCAACTCGGGAGGCTGAGGCAGGAGAATCACCTGATCCCAGGAGGTGAGGTTGCAGTGAGCCAAGACTGCGCCACTGTACTCCAGCCTGGACGACAGAGCGAGACTGTCTCAAAAAATAAAAAATAAATAAATAAATAAATAAATAAAAGTGTTTCTTATAAGAATACAATTAGGTTTTGTTTTGTGATCCCAAATAATAATTTTTTGTTAATGGTTAAGTAAAGGTTTAAAGCTATTTTGAGCAACTTGCACATCAACTCAATTTTGAACATTCACATTTGGCTTAGATTTTCCATATAACATTGGATGTAACATAAAACACTGATTTCAGGAAAGAGGACAAAGATGAGCTCTTAGTGAACCATACATGCCTTTCTGCCATGAACCTGATTATGCCACACAAATATGGAAATGGCCCTAGTGAAAACGGGCTGAGAAAACTTGCATAAAGAGTTGAACAAACTGTTGAGCTAAGTAGGAACAAAATAGGTGAAAGGGAAGAGTAGGCACATTTATATTTGTGGCAATCCTCCTATATGTCAGATGCTTCACCTCATGGACTCATTTAATGCTGCCAATAATCTTCCTAGGCAGTCATCACTGTCCCTGTTTTACAGATGAGAAAATTAAGGTTTAGATAATTTTCTGATACTCAAAGTGTGGTCCTAGACCCCCCCAGCATCAGCATTATCTGAGAACTTGTTAGAAATACAGAATCTCAGGCCTCACCCTGGACCTCCTGAATTAGAATCTGCATTCAACAAGATCCCCATGTTATTTGTATGTACAATAAATTTTAAGAATTACGAATGCATTTCCAAAGGCCACAAATATAAATAGAACCTGACTCCAAAGCCTATGTTGTTTGTTCTGCAGCTGCTACAGAATCAAGTTACTTGACAGTCACAGATTAAACCCACAGCTAAAGTTAGCCAACTAGAGGGGTTTGTGTTGTCATATTGGGCCTCAGTGTTCTCATCTGTTCAATGTTTTAAACATCTAAAAGAATAAATAAATTCTAAGACAATAAAAGTATGCCATGTTGAATACTGCTTGAAATTAAAAAGCCACCTTAAGCCCCAAATGTTTTGTTAGATAAGATTTGTATCTGTTGCAGTGAGTTCTAAGATTATTTCTGGGTGAGGCTAACAGTTTATACTCACTGTCTGTCCATGCACGCTTCTACATCCATTCAGACTAGCAAGAGAATACCGTTGCACCAATTGCTAAACTTAAATGTGAATAACAGAGGAGAGTCTCTCGTATAATGTTACAGTAACTCTTCTAGTCCTGGGACCAGACCTTTACATTTGAATGAAAGTTCAAACAGATTCAATTAACACTGAGTTCAAATTCTGAACGAAAGTTCAATTCTTAAAAAATCTGGCTGGGTGCAGTGGCTCACACCTGTAATCCTAGCACTTTGGGAGGCTGAGACGGGCAGATTGCCTGAGCTCAGGAGTTCAAGACGAACCTGGCCAACATGGTGAAACCCCATCTCTACTAAAATGCAAAAAAAAGAAAAAAACAGCCAGGCATGGTGGCAGGCGCCTGTAATCCCAGCTACCCAGGAGCCTGAGGCATGAGAATTGCTTGAACCCAGGAGGCAGAGGTTGCAGTGAGCCGAGATCGTGCCACTGCACTCCAGCCTGGGCAACAAAGTAAAACTGTTTCCAAAAAAAAAAAAAAAAATCCAATTGTCCTTCTTTTTACCCCATCTTCCAGACTATTCCCCATTAATTTTTATTTTTCAATTTTAGAAGAAATATCATTTATGTTTGTTTTGGTTTTGGTTTCAAAAAAGTTGATGCACTTTTGATCTAGCCCTGGTGCTCAGAGATGAGCCAGCTTGTTCTGCTCTGTAGGCTTAAAAGAGCTTTTTAAATAGCAAAACAATAAAATAATTCAGTTATCATAACTTTTCCCAAAAAGACCTTCTAACTTGAGAAGACCGGATCTTCTGTCTCATAGAACACTGAATACTGTACTCTTCTTGCTTCCTTCAAAATCTTAGAACCAAAGACCTCGTCAGAATACCGTTCATAGATAATTAATGCAGCTCCAGTTGTTTAATTGCAAGACTTGGCCTTGATTTTTGGTTATTTAATTCTCTCAGTAAAATGTAGCTGTTTTTAAAGCACCAGTTTTATGAGCACATGCTGTACTCATTGATGCTATGGAGTCCTTTGCATCTTTTCCCAGCTGGCAAAGTTTTTATAATGACATCTTAGGGATGAGACCATTAGAGAAAGAGAACCCATCTCGGGATTTACTGGGCAAATTAATCCTTTAAATTAGTACTTGCCCCAGGCCAGGATACCTCTCCTGTGGGGCTGTGGCATTAAGGGGGAAGAAGGTAAATACAATTGAGAGAGAAAATATTTAATAGCTTTCAAGTAAAACATATCTGGGCTTCAATAGTACTATCACTATGTTGCTTTGCACAAGTCCTAATAGCTATTAAAGTCTCAATTTTCTCATCTGTAAAATGAGATCTTGCAGGGCCATTGTAAGAATTAAGTGGGTTAATGGATATAAAGCATTTGGCCTACAGCAAGCTTGTAACATAATTTAAATCCCCCTGGAAAAAGAAAACCTGAAGTTTAAAGACAGAATCAGAACTGAAAGCAAGAACAGAAGCACTTCCTCTTAGAATCAGACATCCGGACCACACTCCTTGCCCTGACAGAGCGTAGGACATCTAGAAGGTTAGAGGAGAAGTCTGACTGTCATGGGGAGGAAGTTTGCCTAAACCAAGGCTGGTGCCCTCTCTAAAGCAGTTCAAAAGAATTTGAAAACACCAGCTCTGAGCACCCCACATAGCTTGTCAACTCACCCCATGTTATCTCAGTCATGATGACTCAACACTAGAGCCTGGCTTGGCCAGAGCACTGAGGCTACAGCCTTCTGTAAACAAGACCAAGGACACAGGACAGCAAGAAAGAAGACAGACAGGTCACTCTCCTGGCTACTTCTATCCAAACCTGTATATCAAAAGAAGAGAACTTCTCTCATTCACACTGCAGGAGAGGGTACAGGAGCAGAAGGAGTAAAGAGGAGATGGGACTTGGCTTAAGCACTGAAACAAATTGTGTGTCTGCACCCTAAACTGTCAACCCTGGCTATTCTTCAAGGTAAAGAAGAGGGCCCTAAATAATCATTTATGAATCATGTGGTCCAGGCACTCTCCCAGAGATCACTTCTCTCACTCCTCACCACATCTCTATTGGTAAAATATTATACTCCCTCTTTTAGTGAGGAGCAGAGGCTCTGAGAGACTATCAAGCTGTCCAAAGTTAAACAACTGAATCAGAACAGAAATTAGAACACAGGTCTTTCTGACATCTTACAAAACCAGTTAACATAGAATTCTGTATTTGGTATATAGAGTGTTTTCATTTTTGTGAGTTTGGGTTTTTGTTTGGTCAGTTATATTCAGGGGGTTCTTATTCTCCCCTAAATACTATTAAGTCATAGATATAAAATCCAACCCACTTCTTTTTAAAGACTTTGGATAAAACGCTGAGATGGGAGAGATCCCTTGACCCCTTCCTGGGACTTGCAACACTGGTGTGGCTCATTTTACTCAGCTACCACCCTCGAACCCCTTGTGGAAAGGGGAGCACACAGGTGAGCAGGTGCAAGAGCCAGGGCAAGTGCCTTTGGCCACCAGCCAGCCCACAGCAGCATCTAGGAGTTGCCCGCGACCTCTGGAGCCCCAGAAAGCATGTGTTACAAACAATGCTCTTTTAGCTTTCCCATCCACGGATGGCTTAAGTGCTGAACAGCTCAGTGAAGAGTCAGTGTGACAGCCTTTTTGGGTCCCCACACCCAATGCATCTCGAATTCTTGTCTGGCATCCAGGAAGAATCAGGTCATACGAACGGATCAAAGGATGGTGTATGCAGAAGATTTTATTGAGCAATGGAAGTGGCTCTCAGCAGGATGGGGAGCTAGAAAGTGGATGGAGTAGGAAGATAGTCTTCACCTTCCCCTTGCGGGAGGGGGAGCACACAGGTGAGCAGGCGCAGGAGCCAGGGTGCCTCCCAACCATCCCCAACTGAACTCCTCTCAACGTTCAGATGCTTCTTCTCAACGTTCAGATGCTTCTTCTCTTCTCTCCTCCTCTGCCATGCCACTCTGCTCCTCTGCCAGTGGAGCTTGGGCCTTTTATGAGTACAGAATGGGGGGCTTGGTGGGCCAGGGTCATTTTGGAAAAGGCAACATTTGGGCAGGAAAACAGGAATGCATGTTTTCATTTAGGGCCATGGGTCCAGGCCTGAGGATGAAGCCCTCTCCAGGGACCCCACCTTCTTCTACCCAGTATTTCCCTGCCTCCTGTCCATATCAATACTTTAATTAGCCTTAATGTTAAATCTGTTCTGAAGTCTTCAGATTTCAATAATCATTTCTTTATTACCATAATTAATGTAAATAATTCAAGAAAGTGGAAATTCTAACCCTATTGGGCTTTTCCCACAAGTGCCTGGTGCTTATCTGAAATAATGAACTAATTTCTCCTTGCTGCATCCATATATGAATCCAAAAACTGAGCAGTCCTTAGAAATGATCATTAGGCCTTCTCAGGTAGGCAGCAGGAAAAGCTGAAAGAATCTCAAAGGATCTGCAGCCAGGACATCCATTTAAAGAGGTAATATATGCTTCTATATAATTTATTATTTCTAACCTTGTTCCATTAGTTTTCACCACAAAAATTATTTCCAATTTTTCACCCACTTTATGCCAAACAGCAGGGGATGAATTACTACACCTCTTTAAAGGTTCTCAGAATTTCATGCAGTCTGAGTTACGAAAACAGAAAATGCAGGTTTCAAGCCAATAGTGTTTGCTTTGTTGAGTGAACTGAATTATTACATGTAAAAGGAATCCTATTTGCTAAGGATATTACTTTAATGGAGGTTTAGTTTTGAGCTTTTTATTTATTTTATTTTTTTTTTTTTTAGACAGAGTCTCACTCTGTCACCCAGGCTGGAGTGCAGTGGCACAATCTCGGCTCACTGCAACCTCTGCTTCCTGGGTTCAGGCAATTCTCCTGCCTCAGCCTCCTGGGTAGCTTGGGACTACAGGCACGCACCACCACGCCCAGCTAATTTTTGTATTTTTAGTAGAGACAAGGTTTCACCATGTTGGCCAGGATGGTCTCGATCTCTTGACCTCGTGATCCACATGCCTTGGCCTCCAAAAGTGCTGGTATTACAGGCATGAGCCACCATGCTCAGCCATGGTTTTAATTTTTTTTAACAACATATTGCTCCACCAGAAACAAGCACATTAACTAGCTTAGTTCCTGTGGTTGGTTGGTTTATTCTTATTTCACTGGAGATGTTCTCTTTTTTTTTTTTCAATTAAAAAAAACTTTGTGCTTCAAAATTTAAACCCGAAACACAAACTTATCTCACAGGAAGTTTATTCTCAGAAATGTTTTTCTAGGACAAGTATCTGTTTTCCCTTAGTGCCCCCCAACACAGCATATACATGTTAATTACTTAATTTCAGTTTATAATAATTGAAGTTCCGTTAATTTGTGAGATTATACCCAGATCACACACACACTCTAAAAATATTCCTAGTTGTATTCTAGTTTTACTAACTGCCAAAGGTTTTTTGCAATAATCTCAGTCACCCACTGGAGATGTTCTTAAGCCCTGAGAAGACAGATCATCATTCACAGAAATAGACAGCACTGAGCAAAAACACATTGCTGTCCATCCATCTTCATCTTTTAGTAATCAACAAGTGCTTTCAAAATACTATGAGTTAGATAGATCAACATGTTAATTAATCTTCTTAGAATTTGAAATTCATCATCTAGATATTTTCCTATTGTTTGTTGTATTATTCCTGGCAACGGTAACCAACTTTATTTTAATTGGTAGCCAATCATTATAAAATTTTTGATGACTGACTCTATATTTTTGCCAAACAGAGTTGCCCAATGTTTTCCCCCATTAAAACAAACATATAAGTAGTTGAAAGAAAAAGCAAACAAACAATTTACAAGTCAGAAAGCCCTAGAACTGAGGTGGTATGCTGATATGCTCGCAACAAAATGCTTGATCTAATACTTAGGACATAAGCTAGATGCAAGCAACTCAGCACTCAACATAAAAGTTTTGCTAAGATTAATTTGGTTTTAGAAAAGCAAAGCTGACCTAGGCATATTGACTTGAATCCATGGTAGGATTCTGCTAAATACCTCTAGAAGTGTCTGTGATTTGCTATCTGTGTGTAAAAACATATAAACAATCAGGCCAGGCGTGGTGGCTTCTGTCTGTAATCCCAGCAGTTTGGGAGGCCGAGGTGGGCAGATCACCTGAGGTCGGGAGTTCGAGACCACGCTGACCAATATGGAGAAATCCCATCTGTACTAAAAATACAAAATTAGCAAGGCGTGGTAGTTCATGCCTGTAATTTCAGCTACTTGGGAGGCTGAGGCAGGAGAATCCCTTGAACCCAGGAGGTGGAGGTTGCATTGAGCCAAGATCACACCATTGCACTCCAGCCTGGGCATCAAGAGCGAAACTCCATCTAAAAAAGAATATATATACATATATTTTTTATATATTAATATATATATATTATATTTTATAAACAATCAAAGCTTCTTTTAAAACCCTGAATTATTTTTCTTTGTACTTTGATATCTTTGCAAATGAATAAGCCTATTAGCAGAGGGAATTATTTCCGTGGAGAGGCTTAAACACATATGTACGGTTATATGTTATAACATCTCAGTTAACTACAATGGTGGGGGGGAATGGAGTGCTCTAAATAATTGGATTTTATAGTTAAGTTCATTAAAGAAGCTAAATGAAACCCTATAACATGTGACACTAATAATCACCCACTATTTTTAAAACTTTCTTCTTCTTTGGATTCCGTGACATTCCCTTCTACTAATTATTTTCCTATGTGCTGACCATCCTTCTGATTATTTCTCATTTCTCTTACTCTTCAACATCCCCCAAATATTTCCACATTTCTTTCCTCAATAACTGTTCTTTATACCTATTTAATGCAATCAGCCTTTCACACGCCTTCCATTATCAACTCTATGTAAATAGTATCACCAGAACAAATTGCTGTGGTAGAGAGATGAAGGAAGGAAAAAAGCAAAGAGAATGAGCAAGACAGGGAGAGAGGGAAAGGGAGGGACAGCTTACTCCTAAAATATTTTCCCCCAGCTTCTCCCCCAAGTTCCAGACCCACTTTTCCAACCTCAAGGTGAACATTTCCAGTTGAATAACATCTTACTCAAAAGTTGTTGAAACCACATCTTTAAAATAATGTTTTATTGAGCTATGTTTGATATAAAATTAACTGCATATATTTAAATGTAGTTTGATACATTTTGACATATGTATACACCCATGAAATTATAATGAAAATAGTAAACATATGCTCACTGCCCAAAATTTCCTCATGCCTTTTCATAATCCCTTTCTCACTCTTCACCACAGACCCTCCCTTAGTTGACCCTCCCATACCCAAAGAAATTGATTTAATTTTTGTCAATATAGATTTGTTTGCATTTTATAGTTTCACATGAATGAAATCACACAGTATATACTCTTTTTAGATTAGCTTCTTTAACTCATAAAGCATAATTAGATTTGTCCTTGTTGTTGAATGTATCCACGGTGCATTCTTCTTTGTTGTTGAGTAGTATTGCATTGTATACCATGCATTATATGCCGTGCATGGTACACCACAATTTGTTTACCCACTCACCTGTTGATAGAAATTTGGGTTGCTTATAGTTTGGGACTATTGCAAATGAAGCTATATGAACATTAGTGTACAAATCTATATGTGAACATATATTTCTTTTTCTATTGGGTAAATAAATATATTGGAGGACTATTAGATTGTAGGTCTTATTCATTCTTTTTATTTTTTTCATACCCATTAACCATCCCCACCTCCCTCCTTGCCCACTTGCTTCCCTCCAAGCCTCTGGTAACTATCCTATTCTCTATCTCCACGAGTTCAATAGTTTCAATTTTTAAATCCCACAAATAAGTGAGAACATGTGATATTTGTCTTTCTGTGTTTGGTTTATTTCACTTAACATAATGACCTCAAGTTCCATCCATGTTGTTGCAGATGAGAAACTTATTTTTTATTGCTGAATAATACTCCATTGGGCATAAGTACCACATTTTCTTTACTGAAATTCATCTCTTGATGGACACTTAGGTTACTTCCAAATCTTGGCTATTGTGAACGGTGCTGCAACAAACATGGGAGTGCAGGTATCTCTTTGATAGACTGACTCCCATTCTTTTGGGTATGGAACCAGCAGTGGAATTGTTGGATCACATGGTAGCTCTATTTCTGGTTATTTGTGGAACCTCCAAACTGATCTACATAGTGGTTATACTAATTTACATCTCCACCAACAGTGTATGAGGGCTCCCTTTTCTCTACATCCTTGCCAGCATTTGTTATTGCCTGACTATTGGGGAAAAGTCGTATTAACTGGGGCAAGATGATATCTCATGGCAGTTTTGATTCACAAATCTCTGGTGATCAATGACATTGAGCACCTTTTCACATGCCTCTTGCCATTTGTGTGTCTTCTTTTGAGATGGGTCTATTTAAATATATTGTCCTTTTTTTAAATCAAATTATTAGATTTTTTGTACAGTTGTTTGAGCTCCTTATATATTCTGGTTATTAATCCTTTGTCAGATGCGTGGTTTGCAGATATTTTCTCCCATTCTGTGGGTTGTCTCTTCACTTTGTTGATTGTCTCCTTTGCTGTGCAGAAGCTTTTTAACTTGATGTGATCCCATTTCTTCATTTTTGCTTTGGTTGCCTGTATTTGTGGGGTACTACTCAAGCAATTTTTGCCCAGACCAATGTCCTGGAGAGTTTCCCCAATGTTTTCTTGTAGTAGTTTCATGCTTTAAAGACTTAGATTTTTGTCTTTAATCCATTTTGATTGGATTTTTTTACAAGGCAAGAGATAGCAGTCAAGTTTTATTCTTTTGCATATCGATGTCCAGTTTTCCCAGCACCATTTATTGAAGAGACTGTCTGTATTAGCCCATTCTTGCATGGCTATAAAGACACATCTGAGGCTGGGCGCAGTGGCTCATGCCTGTAATCCCAGCATTTCGGGAGGCTGAGGCGGGTGGATCATGAGGTCAGGAGATCAAGACCATCCTGGCCAACATGGTGAAACCCCGTCTCTACTAAAAATACAAAAATTAGCGGGGCATGGTGGTGTGCACCTGTAGTCCCAGCTACTCGGGAGGCTGATGCAGGAGAATCACTTGAATCCAGGAAGCAGAGGTTGCAGTGAGCCAAGATCACACCACTGCACTCCAGCCTGGTGACAGAGCGAGACTCAGTCTCAAAAAAAAAAAAAAAAGAAAGAAAGAAAGGTCAGGCGCGATGGCTCATGCCTGTAATCCCAGCACTTTGGGAGGCCAAGGCATGCACATCAAGAGGTCAGGAGATCGAGACCATCCTGGCTAACACGGTAAAACCCCGTCTCTACTAAAAATACAAAAAATTCGCCGGGTGTGGTGGCATGTGCCTGTAGTCCCAGCTACTTGGGAGGCTGAAGCAGGAGAATGGCATGAACCTGGGAGGCAGAGCTTGCAGTAAGCCAAGATCACGCCACTGCACTCCAGCCTGGGTGACAGAGTGAGACTCCATCTCAAAAAAAAAAAAAAAAAAAAAAAAAAGACACACCTGAGACTGGGCAATTTATAAAGAAAAACTCTGATCATGATCAGCAGGCTGTACAGGAAGCAAGCATGATGCTGGAATCTGCTTGGCTATGGGGGAGACCTCAGGAATCTTACAATCATGGCAGAAGATGAATAGGGAGCAGGCACATCACATGGCCAGAGCAGGAGCAAGATACATACGGCAAGGTGCCACACACTTTTAAACAGCCAGATTTCACATAAAGTCACTCACTATCACCAGAATGGCACCTGAAGGATGGTGCTAAACCATTTATGAGAAATCAGCCCCCATGATCCAATTACTTTCACTAGGCCCCACCTCCAATACGGGGGATTACAATTCACCAAGAAATTTGGACAAGGACACAGATCTAGACTGTATCATTCCACCCTTGACCCCTCTCAAATCTCATCTCTTTCTCACATTTCAAAACACAATCATGCCTTCCCAATAGTCCTCCCAAAGTCTTAGCTCATTCCAGCATTAACTCTGAATTTCAAGTCCAAAGTCTCATCTTATATTCATCTCCTTCCACCTATGAGCCTGTAAAATCAAATCCCAAGGTACAATGGGAGTATGGCATTAGGAATGCTCCAAAAGGGAGAAATCAACCAAAAGAAAGAGACTACAGGTCTCACACAAGTTCAAAACCCAGCAGGACAGTCACTGAATCTTAACGCTCCCAAATAATCTCCTTTGACTCCATGTCCCACATCCAGGTCACAGTGGTTCAGGGAGTGGGTTCCCAAGGCCTTAGGCAGTTCTGCCCCTGTGAATTTGGAGGGTTCAACCCCCACAGCTACTCTCATGAGCTGGCATTAAGTGTCTGTGGGCTTTTCCAGGCACACTGTCAGGGGATCTACCACTATGAGGTCTGTGGGACAGCAGCCCTCTTCTCATTGCTCCACTAAGCAGTGCCCTAGTGGGGACTCTGTGAGGGGTCTCCAACCCCACAATTCCCCTCCACACTGCCCTAGTAGAGGTTCTCCATGAGGGCTCCATCCCTGCGGTAGGCTTCTGCCTAGACACACAGGCTTTTCCATACATCCTCTGAAATCTAGGTGGAGGCTCCTAAGCCTCAACTGTTGCACTCTGTGCACCTGCAGGCTTAACACTACATGGAAGCCACCAAGGCTTATGGCTTGTATCCTCTGAAGCAGCAGCTCAAGCTGTACCTGAGCCCCTTTGAGCCATGGATGGAGCAGAAGTGGCTGGGAGGTGGTGGAGCAGTGTCCTGAGGCTGCGCAGAGTACTGGGGCTTTGGGCCTGGCCCACAAAACCATTCTTTACTCCTAGGCCTCAGGGCCTGTGATGGGAGGGGCTGCCTCAAAGGTCTCTGAAATGCTTTTGAGGCCTTTTCCCCATTGTCTTGGCTATCAGTACTTGACTTCTCTTTCATTATGCAAATCTTTCTAGCATGTGGTTGCTCCACAGCCTGCCTTGCAACTTCTGCCTGTTACCCAGTTCCAAGTCTGCTTCCACATTTTCAGGTGTCTTTATAGCAATGACCCACTCCTAGGTACAAATTTTCTGTATTAGTCAATTTTCACATTGCTATAAAGAAATACCTGAGACTGAGTAATGTATAAAGCAAAAAGGTTTTATTAGCTTATGGTTCTGCATGCTGTACAGGAAGCATGATGCTGGCATCTGCTCAACTTCTAGGAGGGTCTTATGAAACTTACAATCTGTGGCAGAAGGTAGGGAACAGCATGCACATGACATGGGAAGAGCTGGAGCAAGAGAAGGAGAGCAAGGTGCCATACACTTTCAAACAGCCAGATCTCGTGAGAACTCACTATTGTGAGGAAAGCACCAACAGGATGGTGCTAAATCATTCATGAGAAATCCAACCCAGTGTTTCCCCATTCAGTATGATGCTGGCCATGGGTCTTATTTATTTATTGAGGTATATTCCTTCTATACCCAGTTTTTTGAGAGTTTTTATCATGAAGGGATGTTGGACTGTAATGCTTTTTCAGCATCAGTTGAAATGATCATATGGTTTTTGTCCTTCATTCTGTGGATATGACGTATCACATTGATTGATTTGCATGTGTTGAACCATCCTTTCATCCCTGGGATAAATACCACTTGGTCATGATGATTAATCTTTTTAATGTATTGTTGAATTCAGTTTGCCAGTATTTTGTTGAGGATTTTTGCATCAGTATTCATCAGAAAACTTGGCCTGTAGTTTTCCTTTTTTGATGTGTCTTTGTCTGGTTTTGGTAGCAGGATAATACTGGCCTCATAGAATGAGTTTGAGAGTAATCCCTTTTTTCCGTCTTTTGGAACAGTTCGAGTAGAATTGGTATTAGTTCTTCTTTAAATGTTTGGTAGAATTCAGTGTTAAAGCCATTGGGCCCACACTTTTCTTTACTAGGAGACTTTTTTTTTTCTTCAAATTTTATTTTAAGGGTACATGTGCAGGTTTGTTACACAGATAAATGTGTGCCATGGTGGTTTGCTGCACAGATCATTCCATCACCTAGGTAGTAAGCCCAGCGGCCATTAGCTATTCTTCCTGATTCTCCCTCCCCTCAATACCCACCCTCCAACCAACAGGCCCCAGTGTGTGTTGTTTTCCCTTATGTGTCCATGTGGTCTCATTGTTCAGCTCCCACTTATAACTGAGAACGTGTGATGTTTGGTTTTTTGTTCCTGCGTTAGTTTGATGAGGATAATGTCTTTCAACTCCATACATGTTCTGCAAATAACATAATCTTATTCCTTTTTATGGCTGCATAGTATTGCCTGGTGTATCCTTGCCTCATAGAATGAGTTTGGAAGTATTCCCTCCTCCTCTATTTTTCAAAATAGTTTGAGTAGGATTGATATTAGTTCTTTTTCAAATATTTGCTAAAATTCAGCAGTGAAGCCATTGGATTCCAGGCTTTTCTTTGCTGGGAGACTTTTTATTACAGCTTTAATCTTGTTACTTGTTATTGGTCTGTTCAGATTTTAGATTTCTTCATGGTTCAGTTTTGGTGGGTTGTCTGTGTCGAGGAATTTATCCATTTCCTCTAGAATTTCCAATATATGGGCATGTAGTTGCTCATATTAGCCACTAATAATCCTTTGAATTTCTGTGGTATCAGTTGTAATGTCTCCTTTTTCATCTCTGTTTTTATGTATTTGAGTCCTCTCCATTTTTCCCTTACTCTGGCTAAATGTTTGTCAATTTTGTTTATCTTTTGAAAAAAACCAACTTTTTGTTTCATTGGTCTTTTGTATTGTTTTCCTCATTTCAAATTCATTTATTTCTGCTTCAACTTTTTTTATTTATTTTTTTTAACCTCTGAACTTTTTATTGGCTTCGGGCTCCCCAAAGGATACCCTGCTTCTGCTGGCTTAATGCCTCAGAATTTTGGTGTCATTGGTCTCAGACACCACTTTGCCATCCACTATCTGGCGGGTCTATCTGGCGGGTGGTGGTCTTTTGGATGGTTTGCATGGAGTTGCTGCAGTCCAGGGTATCACCAAGATTGAAGTCCTTGCCATCTTCCAGCAGGCGGCGGTAGGTGGCGATCGCAGCCTCCAGCTTGACCTTGATGTTCAGCAGGGCCTGGTACTCCTGGGCCTGGCACTGTCCCTCTGCCCAGGTTTGTGCCAGCTCTGACTCCAGGTGTAGCAGGATCCCATTGAGCTGCTCCATCTGCAGGGCATAGCGGGCCACTACCTCCCTCAGGCTGTTCTCCAAACTGGCCTTCAGATTTCTCATGGAGTCTAGGTTGATCTCCAAGAACTGGACTGTACGTGTCAGCTCTGTGAGCATCGCCTTAGCAGCTCCAACCTCGGTGGACTGTGTGGTGACCACTGTGGTGCTCTCCTCAATCTGCTGAGACCTGTTATTGTCCAGCTCCTCTCTGTTCTTCTGAGCCACCTCGTCATATTGGGCCCAGATGTCTGCCATGATCTTGGCGAAGTCCTGAGATATGGGGGCATCTACCACCACAGTCAACCCAGAGCTGGCAATCTGGGCTTGTAGGCCTTTTACTTCCTCTTCATGGTTCTTCTTCATAAGAGCAGCTCCTCCTTGAAAGCCTGGATCTCTGTCTCCAGCTGCAGCTGAGTGACATTGGTGTCATCAATGACCTCGCAGAGCCCATGGATGTCGTTCTCTACTGGCTGGCACATGGCCAGCTCTGTCTCACAGTTGACTCTAAAATCATCAGCAGAGAGTCTGGGATGCTGAATTCAATCACAGAATCAAGCTTCTTTTTCCTCTTCTCCATGAGGTCATCGAGCATTTCTGCCTGCCTCACAGTCCGAGGGAAGCCATCCAGAAGAAAAACATTTTTGCACAAGGGGGGTCTCCAAATTCTTCTCAATGAGCTCCACTACCATTTCATCACTCACCAGTTTCCCAGCATCCATAGTTGCGTTCAGCTTTTTTTCTAGCTCTGAGCCAGAAGCCACCATGGCCCTCAGCCTGTCCCCAGTAGCCGAATGGCAGACACAGAAGTTTTCAGCCAATATGGGTGCCTGGGTGCCTTTACCGTCCCCGGGAGGCCCCAGCAGCACGGCCTGGATGCCTTTAGGATACTCGGGTTCTGCCGCTGGCACGCTGGGAGCCATGTCCGCTGAAGTCCTTGTATAGTTTTACAAAGTTCCTCTCGTTATTCTTAGTTTTATTTCATTGTGGTCAGAGAAGATTCTTGATATTATTTCAATTTTTTTTAATGTTTTGTTTTGTAACCTAACATATCGCCTGTCCTTCAGAATGATTTATGTGCTGAGGAGAAGAATGTGTATTCTGCAGCCATTGGATGAAATGTTCCGTAAATATCTATTAGATCCATTTGTTCCATAGTGTAGATTAAGTCCAAATTTTCTCTGTTAATTTTCTATCTGGGAGATCTGTCCAATGCTGAAAGTGAGGTGTTGAAGTCTCTGGATATTATTGTATTGAGATCTCCCTCTTTAGCTCTATTAATTAATATTTGCTTTATATATTTGGGTGCTCTAGTATTGAATGCATATAGATTAATAATCATTATACCCTCTTGCTGAACTGACCCCTTTATCATTATATAATGACCTTCTTTGTCTCTTCTTATAGTTTTTTTTATTATACTTTAAGTTTGAGGGTACATGTGCACAACGTGCAGGTTTGCTACATATGTATACATGTGCCATGTTGGTGTGCTGCACCCATTAACTCGTCATTTAACATTAGATATATCTCCTAATGCTATCCCTCCCCACTCCCCCCACCTCACAACAGACCTCGGTGTGTGATGTTTCCCTTCCTGTGTCCATGTGTTCTCATTGTTCAATTCCCACCTATGAGTGAGAACATGCGGTGTTTGGTTTTTTGTCCTTGCGATAGTTTGCTGAGAATGATGGTTTCCAGCTTCATCCATATCCCTACAAAGGACATGAACTCATCATTTTTTATGGCTGCATAGTATTCCATGGTGTATATGTGCCACATTTTCTTAATCCAGTCTGTCATTGTTGGACATGTGGGTTGGTTCCAAGTCTTTGCTCTTGTGAATAGTGCTGCAATAAACATACGTGTGCATGTGTCTTTATAGCAGCATGATTTATAATCCTTTGGGTATATACCCAGTAATGGGATGGCCGGGTCAAATGGTATTTCTAGTTCTAGATCCCTGAGGAATCGCCACACTGACTTCCACAATGGTTGAACTAGTTTACAGTCCTACCAACAGTGTAAAAGTGTTCCTATTTCTCCACATCCTCTCCAGCACCTGTTGTTTCCTAACTTTTTAATGATCGCCATTCTAACTGGTGTGAGATGGTATCTCATTGTGGTTTTGATTTGCATTTCTCTGATGGCCAGTAATCATGAGCATTTTTTCAAGTGTCTTTTGGCTGCATAAATGTCGTCTTTTGAGAAGTGTCTGTTCATATCCTTTGCCCACTTTTTGATGGGGTTGTTTTTTTCTTGTAAATTTGTTTGAGTTCATTGTAAATTCTGGATATTAACCCTTTGTCAGATGAGTAGATTGCAAAAATTTTCTCCCATTCTGTAGGTTGCCTGTCCACTCTGATGGTAGTTTCTTTTGCTGTGCAGAAGCTCTTTAGTTTAATTAGATCCCATTTGTCAATTTTGGCTTTTGTTGCCATTGCTTTTGGTCAAATTGTCTCTGTTTGCAGATGACATGATTGTATATCTAGAAAACCCCATCGTCTCAGCCAAAAATCTCCTTAAGCTGATAGGCAACTTCAGCAAAGTCTCAGGATACAAAATCAATGTGCAAAAATCACAAGCATTCTTATACACCAGTAACAGACAAACAGAGAGCCAAATCATGAGTGAGCTCCCATTCACAGTTGCTTCCAAGACAATAAAATACCTAGGAATCCAACTTACAAAGGATGTGAAGGACTTCTTCAAGGAGAACTACAAACCACTGCTCCATGAAATAAAAGAGGATACAAACAAATGGAAGAACATTCCATGCTCATGGGTAGGAAGAATAAATATGGTGAAATGGCCATACTGCCCAAGGTAATTTATAGATTCAATGCCATCCCCATCAAGCTACCAATGACTTTCTTCACAGAATTGGAAAAAACTACTTTAAAGTTCATATGGAACCAAAAAACAGCCTGCATTGCCAAGTGAATCCTAAGCCAAAAGAACAAAGCTGGAGGCATCATGCTACCTGACTTCAAGCTATACTACAAGGCTACAGTAACTAAAACAGCATGGTACTGGTACCAAAACAGAGATATAGACCAATGGAACAGAACAGAGCCCTCAGAAATAATGCCGCATATCTACAACTATCTGATCTTTGACAAACCTGACAAAAACAAGCAATAGGGAAAGGATTCCCTATTTAATAAATGGTGTTGGGAAAACTGGCTAGCCATATGTAGAAACCTGAAACTGGATCCCTTCCTTACACCTTATACAAAAATTAATTCAAGATGGACTAAAGACTTAAATGTTAGACCTAAAACCATAAAAACCCTAGAAGAAAACCTAGGCAATACCATTCAGGACATAGTCATGGGCAAGGACTTCATGTCTTCTTATCGTTTTTGTCTTGAAATCAATTTTGTCTGATATAAATATAGCTACTCCTGGTCTTTTTTGGCTTTGATTTGCATGGAATATCTTTTCCCATCCCTGATTTTCAGTCTATGTGTATCTTTATAGGTGAAGTGTGTTTCTTTTAGGCAACAGATCATTCGTTCTTATTTTCTCATCCATTCAGCCACTCTCTGTCTTTTGATTGGAGAGTTTAGTTCATTTACAATGTTATTATAGATAAGTAAGGACTTACTCTGGCCATTTTGTTGTTTTCTGTTTGTTTTGTGGTCTTCTCTTCCCTTTTTCCTTCCTTCTTGTCCTTTTTTAGTGAAGGTGATTTTCTCTGGTGCTATGATTTAATTTCTTGCTTTTTATTTTTTGTGTATCCACTGTGTGTTGATTTGAGGTTACCATGAGGCTTGCAAATACTATCTTATAACGCATTGTTTTAAACTGAAGACAACACTAATTGCATAAACAAACATGCAAAAAGAAAACTAATAAAAATTCTACACTTTTCACTTCATCCCCCAGCTTTTTAACCTTCTGTTGCTTTTCATTATATCTTATTGTACTGTCTGTGTCTTGAAAAGCTGTAGTTATTATTTTTGATTGGTTCATCATTTAGCATTTCTACTTAAGAGTACTTTATGGCTGGGTGCGGTGGCTCACACCTGTAATCCCAGCACTTTAGGAGGCCGAGGCAGGCAGATCACAAGGTAAGGAGATCAAGACCATCCTGGCTAACATGGTGACACCCCGTCTCTACTGAAAAATACAAAAACTTAGCCGGGTATGGTGGTGGGCACCTGTAGTCCCAGCTACTCGGGAGGTTGAGGCAGGAGAATGGCGTGAACCCAGAAGGCAGAGCTTGCAGTGAGCCGAGATCACACCACTGTACTCCAGCCTGGGTGACAGAGCAAGACTCTTGTCTCAAAAAAAAAAAAAAAAAAAAAAAGAGTACTTTATACACTACAATTACAGTGTTACACTATTCATACTATTCTGTGTTTTTCTGTGTGTTTACTACTACCAGTGAGTTTTGTAGCTTCTGATGATTTCTTCTTGCTCATTTTTTTTTTTTTTTTTCAAATTGAAGAGCTCTTTTTAGCATTTCTTGTAGAACAGGTCTGGTGTTGATGAAATCCCTCAGCTTTTGTTTCTCTGGGAAAGTCTTGATTTCTCATTCATGTTTGAAGAATATTTTCACCAGGTATACTAGTCTAGGGTAAAAGGTTTTTTCCTTCAACACTTTAAAAGTGTCATACCATTCTCTCCTGACCTGTAAGGTTTCCACTGAAAAGTCTGCTGCCAGATGTATTGGAGCTCAATTGTATGTTATTTGTTTCCTTTCTCTTGCTGATTTTAGGATCCTTTCTTTATCCTTGACCTTCAGGAGTCTGATTATTTGATGCCTGAGGTAGTCTTCTTTGGGTTATATCTGCTTGCTGTTCTATAACCTTCTTATACTTGAATGTTGATATCTTTTCTAGGTTTGGGAAGTTCTCTGATATTATCCCTTTGAATAAACTTCCTACTGCTTTCTCCTTCTCTACCACCTCTTTAAGGCCAATATCTCTTAGAGTATCCCTTTTGAGTCTACTTTCTAGATCTTGTAGGCATGCTTCATTGTTTTTTATTCTTTTTTCTGTCTCTTCTGACTCCGTTTTCAAATCACCTCTTTTCAAGCTAATTCTCTGTTCTGTTTGATCAGTTCTACTATTGAGACTCTGATGGCTTCTTCAGCATGTCAGTTGTATTTTTCAGCTCTACAATTTCTGCTTCTTTTTGCTTCAATCTCTTCGTTAAATTTAGCTAATAGAATTCTGGATTCATTTTCTGTTTTCTCTTGAATTTCATTGTGCTTCCTCAAAACAGCTATTTTGAATTCTCTGTCTGAAAGGTCACATATCTGTTTCTCCAGGATTGGGCTGTGGTGTCTTATTTAGTTCATTTGGTGAGGTCATGTTTTCTTGGAAAGCATTGGTGCTTGTAGATGTTCTTCAGTGTCTGGGCATTGAAGAGTTAGGTATTTATTGTAGTTGTCACAGTCTGGGCTTGTTTGTGCCTGTCCCATTTTGGGAAGGTTTTCCAGGTATTCAAAGGGACTTGGGCCTCAAACTCAATAATGCTGTGGTTTTTGCAGACTTGTAGAAGTAATACCTTGGTGTCTTAGATAAGATCCAAAAGAATTATCTGGATTACCAAGCAGAAACTCTTGTTCTTTTCCCTATTTTCTCCCAAACATATGGAGTTTCTCTGTGCTGAGGCACCTGGAACTGGAGGTGTGGTGATGCAAGTACCCCTGTGACCACCACCACTGGGACTGTGCTGGGTCAGACCTGAAGCCAGCAATGCACTGGACCTTATCCAAGGCTCTTTCCTTAAGGGTGGTAAGATCCCCCCCAGGCTCCAGGTGTGTCCACAGATGCTGTTTGTGAGCCAAGGACTGGAGTCAAAAACCTTAGAAATTTAGCTAATATTCTATTCTACTGCAGCTAAGCTGGCACTCAAACCACAATAGAAAGTCCTTCGCTTTCCACAGAGGAAGCTGTCCCTGTGGCCATCACTACTACCAGTCCACAGGGGGTTCTGCCAGGCCACAGCTGATGTTTGTTTTGAGCCCAAGGGCTCCTCTGTCAGCTTGGGGTGAATGCTCCCAAGCCTGGGACTCACCTTTCAGGGCAGTAGGCTCTCCTCTGACCCAGGGCAGGTCCAGAAATGGTGTCCACCTATAAAGACATACAGTCTTTAATAAAAGCTTTTATCAAACAGGAGTCTTTCACCATAGCCACCACAGCTGGGAATGTGCTGAGTCACCCCTGAAGTCAGCACATCTCAGAGCCCAATGCCCACAGTGTGGTCCCTGGGTATCACTGCTGGCTATTCAGGGCCCAAGGGCTCCTTAGTCAGCAGGTGATTAATCCTGCCAGGACTAGGTCCTTCCCTTCGAGGCAGCAGGTTCTTTTGCACCAGTGTGTGTCTCAAAATGTCATCTGGAAAGTAGGGCCTGGAATGAGGGCCTCAGGACTCTGCCCGGTGGCCTATCCTACAGTGGCTGAGCTGATATCCAAGATGCAAGACATCGTCCTCTTAATTCTTCACTTTCCTATCCTTAAGCAGAAGAAAGGAGTCACTTTTGTTGCGTGAGCACAAGTTCTCCCTTAGCCACGTCAGCTGATGTCTCCCTAGGTTACATGCCACCCAAGTCCACTGGCTCTAAGCCTGGGCTAGCACTAGGAGTTGCCTAGCAATTGCAGTCTTTGTGTTCTAAACTGCCTTTCAAGTTTACCTAGAACCCCCAGGGCACTTCAGCCCACACTCCTAGAAATTCAAGTTCTGATCATTGGAATGGGCAATTCCCCTCTGGCTAAGGGTGGTCCCAATGCTCTCTCCATGCACAGGCATTTGCTGAGCCCAGCATAGCTTTATTCTCCACTGTGACAGGTAGCACTGAGTTCAATGTAAAGTCCTCCAATTGCAGCACTCTCCCTCCCCAAAATGCACAGATTCTCTGTGCTGAGGAGTTGAGATGGGGATGTGAGAGGTATGGCATTGGCGATTCAAGACGACTGTCTCTCCTGCCCTCATCAGTGACTCTTTCAGTGATATGAAGTTAAAGTATGGTACTCTGATTTCTCACCTGATATTTGCTTCTTGTGATGGTGTTTTTCTCTATAGTTGTTAAATTTGGTGTTCCAGTGGTTGGGGGCAAGTGGTGTAGGCTTCTATTTCACCATCTTGCCACCATACATCTAACTTTTTAAGTAACTCTCAAACTGGTTTACAAAGTGATTGTACCATTTTACATTTCTACTGGCAGTATATGAGATACTTAGTTCCTCCACATTCTCACCAACACTTGGTATGGTGAATCGTTTTAATTTTAATCATTTTTATAGGTATGTAGTAGTATCTCACTGCAGTTTTTAATTTGCATTTACCTAATGAGTAATGATATTGGGCACCTTTTCATGCAATTACTTGTCATCTATATATCTTCTTTGGAGAAATGTCTGTTCAAATCTTTAGCCCATTATTTTAATTGGGTTATTTGTTTTCTTATTGTTGAGTTTCAAGTGTCCAAGTCCTTTATCAAATATATTCTGGCCAAAGATTTTATCTCACTATGTGGCTTGTCTTTTCATTCTCTTAATAGTGTCTTTGAAAAATAGAAATTTTAAATTTTGATGAAGTCTAATTTATCAATTCATCCTTTTATTGGTTGTGATTTTGGTGGGTTGTTTGTTTTTGAGACAGGATCTCGCTCTTGCCCAGGCTGGAGTGCAGTGGCACAATCTTGGCTCACTGCAACCTCTGCCTCCCGAGTTCAAGCAATTATTGTGCCTCAGCCTCCCACGTAGCTGGAGCTACAGGTGCAAGCCACCACTCCCAGCTAATTTTTATATTTTTAGTAGAGACAGGGTTTCATCATGTTAGCCAGGCTAGTCTCCAACTCCTGACCTCAAGTGATCCACCTGCCTCAGCCTCCCAAATTGCTGGGATTATAGGTGTAAGCCACCATGCCTGGCCGATTTTGGTGTTTTATCTAAGAAATATTTGCTGAACCGAAGGTTACAAAGGTTTTCTCCCATGTTTTCTTCTAAGAGTTTAGGTTTTACATTGACATATATGACCTATTTTGAGTTAGTTTTTGTATATGTTGCATGGCATCAATCCAAGTTCCTTTATATACATATAGATAGAGATATGGATATCCAATTGTTCCAGCACCATTTGTTGAAAAAATCTACACTGTTCCCATTGCATTACCTTTGTACCACTCTAAAAAAGTCATTGTCCATGTGTGGGTCTATTTCAGAGTTATCTATTCCGCTTCTTTAGTGTAATTGTCTATCTTCATGCCAATACCACCCTGTTTTGATTATTATATTTTAATAATAATGGTTAAAATCCAATAGTATAGCCTTTCAACTTTGTTCTTTTTTTTCTTCTTCTTCTGAAGTTGTGGCAGTTATTCTAGGTCCTTGGCATTCCCATACCAGCTTGCCAGTTCCCATTTTTTTTTAAGTCTGCTGAGATTTTGGTTGGGATTATGTTGAATCTATAAATCAATTTGAGGAGAACTGATATCTTAAAAATATTGAGTCTTCCAGCCCATGCAGAAGGTATATATCTTCATTTATTGAAGCTTTCTTTAACTTCTTTCAGCAACATTTTGTAGTTTCCAGTGTACAGATAGATCTTCCACAAATTTGGTCAGATTTATCCCTAAATATAATTTTTGATACTTCTGTAAATGATATTTCTGTTTTAATTTCAATTTGCTGGTATATGAAAATATAATTTCCTATTTGAGAATTCAATGTATCTAAATATTCCATGTATATTAAAATTATTAAAATTTGGCAAGGAGTTTGGTGAGGAGTAACTTACAAAGCTAGTAATAAGATGCTCTTTGAAAAATACCAATCTAAGTAACAGAGAACTGTGCTATCATGTCATGTATCAGCCTCTTGAATACCCCCAAGTATTGCACTTGCTTGACTCACCTTGTGTCATAGTCGGTTTTGTGCTGCTATAAGAAAATACTCAAGACTGAGTCATTCATAAAGAAAAGAAATTTATTTCTCACAATTTGAAAGCTGGGAAGTCCAAGATAGGCATGGCATTTGGTCTGGTGAAGGACTTCTTGCCAAGTTCCCACATGGCTGAAGATGGAAGGGCAAGCTGCATGAAGCCTTAATCCCATTGAGGGAGGCGTTCCCATGGCCTCATCACTTCTTAAATGACACACCTCTCTATCACATTGGCAACACCTGAATTTTGGAGGGGATGTATTCAACCCATAGAACCTTGTCTTCCAAGATTTAAGTAAATTGTCTCAAACCTACACGCCATATATGTTAGGTAACTTGGCATCCCTGAATATCTCTGGACGAATATCTCTGGGTGCTTGGAATCGGAGGTGGGAGGACGGGCAGGGGTGGTTACTTTTCAAAGCTGAGTTTCTGCTTCCACTAAATTCTTAGCAACTGTTCTTCATTGCATTTTCTACTTTGTATCAAGCTGATGGATCCTTTGTAATCCCCTTACTTTCAGGAACACTGTCAACTCAAGACTGAAGGTCTAGGGCCATAGAGGCGGGTTGCAGAGCCAACAAAAACAAAAAATGAGGTTTAGACATTCCTGCTACTAAAAATGTTATCGACCATCCCTTTTCACAAGAAAGGTTCACTGGTTGTCTCTCGTATTCAACCTATATCTTCTTGTGTTTCTCAAGCCCCTTTGCCTCTTCATTGACTCGTCTTCTCTCCTGACTCACCCTGACCTCAACTATCTTTTTGTCTCACTTCTAAACTAGACAGGGTATGTCTTCAAGATCAGTGTTTCTATAGCCATAATAGCTCATCAAAGGCAGTTTCCGATGTTTCTCCCCGCTAAGCATAACTTTGTCACCAGCACTGATTCTACAGGCCACCTTTTTCTATTACAGTTTGAAGGATACTACAGCCACACTTCTCTATCTTCCATTCTTTTATTGGTATTATTATTATTTTAAAGACAGGGGACTTGCTCTGTCACCCAAGCTGGACTGGAGTGACGCAACCATAGCTCACTGTAACTTTGAACTCCTGGGCTCAAGTGATCTCCTGCTTCAGCCTCCCAAGTGGCTGGAACTACAGGCACATGCCACCACACTGGCTCTCATTCTCTTTCATTCTGATGTCTCCTCTATGCATCTCAAATGTTGCCTCTCTTCCCACATTCAACTTCCCCTCAGAGGAAGAATATGATAAGGTCATTTAGTCCCTATTCTATATGGAGAGTCCCTATTAGGTGTCTTTTTCCTCAGGTACCTAATCCTCACTCATTCATCCTGGCCAAGGTCAAAACTCATAATCCACAATCCATAAAGAACTTCCCATTTTTCTCAAAAGGGGAGAGAGGGAAGAACCAGAAAGATTAACAGAAGCATAGAATTATATTGTTTATTGGCACATTTAGGATAATTTAGTGTCTAATTACCTTTAAGAAAAAGACAATGAGAGCCTGGGGAACATAGTGAGATCCTGTCTCTGCAAAAAAATAAAAAAATTAGCCAGGCATGGTGTCACACACCTATAGTCCCAGCTACTGAAGAGGCTGAAGTAGGAGAGAGAGAGAGAGAGAGAGAGAGAGAGGGAGGGAGGGAGGGAGAGAGAGAGAGAACAATGCGGCAATGAGGACAGAGAGGTTAAGTAACATGTTCCAGGTCACACAGGAATTGGCAGAATATTGACCAGGACCAGGGTCTCATCACTCCATATCCACCCACAATGCCAGCCACCCGATAAACCAGTAGCTTTCATATCTTTTAAAACCACGACTCAGAGTAAGAAACATATTTTACATTAGAACATAGTGCACGCGTGCACACACACACACACACACACACACACATATCCCTCACTACACATGTGCGTATAAATAGGGTGTATGTATATGTGTATAGAAAGTGCCTTATAAATTATAAGCTCTTTACATGTGGTAGCTCATTTAATCCTCACAATATCCTGTAAGGTTATTAATATCTCGATTTTACAAATGAGTAACTTGAAGCACTTAGTGACTTGTCCAAAGACAAGTAACCAGACCAGGATTTGAATACAGGCCCTGTGGCTCCAGAACCCATGCCCTTAGTCACTTCATACACTGTCTCTCATGTTTTGCATATGGACTAATATGTTTATGTATATACATGTGTGTGTATTGATGCATAAAATACTTTACTTTGTGTGGTGCACTCTATTTTCTATTTTATTGCACTTTTCAAAATTTACTGCAAACCACTAATTTTATATATAACCCATATTTTTAAAACACTTGAAAAACACTGCTATACTAACCAGGATAGATTTCCTTTTTAGATTTTCTTTTTAGAAAAGAAGGATGCAAAGTTTAAAGACAGCTATAAATTGGTTATTAACTAAAAGGAAGAAAGCTCCAAGTTTCTGTCTCATAGGAAGACAGTTGTCTATCACTTCAGAGAAAAGATGGAGAAATTATTCTTGTATAGTATTAGTAATATCTCTGCAACTCAGACATGGAAAAACCATTCTCTAAACCTCAAGTTCACCATAATAGTGCAGCTATCACATTTATTATTCATTTGAAGTTATTTTTGAAGTTTTTTTTTTTATTATACTTTAAGTTCTAAGATACATGTGCAAAACGTGCAGGTTTGTTACATAGGTATACATGTGCCATGGTGGTTTGTGGCACCCATCAACCCATCATCTACATTAGGTATTTCTCCTAATGCTATCCCTCCCCTTGTCCCCCATGCCCTGACAGACCCCCGTGTGTGATGTTTCCCTCCCTGTGTCCATGTGTTCTCATTGTTCAAGTCCCACTTGTGAGTAAGAACATGTGGTGTTTGGTTTTCTGTTCTTGTTTTAGTTTGCTGAGAATGATGGTTTCCACCTTCATCCATGTCCCTGCAAAGGACATGAACTCATTCTTCTTTATGGCGGTGTAGTATTCCATGGTGTATAAGTGCCACATTTTCTTTATCCAGTCTATCATTGATGGGCATTTGGGTTGGTTCCAAGTCTTTGCTATTGTGGATAGTGCTCCAATAAACATATATGGGCATGTGTCTTTATAGTAGCATGATATATAGTCCTTCGGATATATACCCAGTAATGGGATTGCTGGGTCAAATGCTATTTCTAGTTCTAGATCCTTGAGGAATCTCCACACTGTCTTCCACAATGGTTGAACTAATTTACACTCCCACCAACAGTGTAAAAGCGTTCCTATTTCTCCACATCCTCTCCAGCATCTGTTAGTTTCCTGAGTTTTTAATGATCGCCGTTCTAACTGGCATGAGATGGTATCTCATTGTGGTTTTCATTTGCATTTCTCTAATGACCAGTGATGATGAGCTTTTTTTCATGTTTGTGGGCAACATAAATGTCTTCTTTTGAAAAGTGTCTGTTCATATCCTTCACCCACTTTTTGATGGAGTTGTTTTCTTCTTGTAAATTTGTTTAAGCTCCTTGTAGATACCGGATATTAGCCCTTTGTCAGATGGGTAGATTGCAAACTTTATTATGTAAATTTTATAATCTACATGATAGAATTTATATCAGTCTGATTTAGCCCATGATTACACTATAAACTCACTGAATAGATTCTACTGGTATAGACATCTTTTTATGTTATGGTGTCTACATCATCATTTATATCTACTACTGCCACTAACATTAGCAATAATAGTTATTATAGTTATTATAGTAGTTATATTATACAATTATATTATAATAGTTATTATTATACACATGTATGTATATCTATCTCTACATGTATGAAGGTAAGTCTTAGTTGCCTATAAAGGTCTGGTTTTGTCCTTGCCCAAGAGATTTTCATAAGTGCAACCCAAAAATAGACCATGCAAGTTAACACTATCTTTCTGATACTCTCAGTAGGCATTTATAGAGCTGCGTCTAAAGGTTGAATATCCTTTATCTGAAATGTTTGGGACCAGACATGTTTCAAATTTTGAATTTCTTTCAGATTATGGAATATTTGCATAGACATAATGAGATATCCTGGGGATGGGATCCAAGACTAAACATAAAATTCATTCATGTTTTATATATACCTAATACATATAACCTGAAGGTAATTTTATATAATATTCTTAATAATTTTGTGCATGAAACAAAGTTTAGACTGCTTTTTGACTGTGACCTGTCACATGAGGTCTGGTGTGGAATTTCCTACTTGTGGTGTCACGTCTTTGCTCAAACACTTTTCAGATTTTGGAGCATTTCAATTTTTGGATTAAGGATTGTCAACTTTACTATTGCTTATGTCACTGAAGTAAAACTTTAAAATTGTTAAAACTCCCCTTTCAATTTCTTGAGTCGGCCTGCAATCAAACCTTTGTAATTAAACCCTCAAAGAACCTGTTGAAATTATTCCAGACTAGTTATTCTAAACCAGTTTTTACTCTCCTTTTCAAATGTCTAGTACATAATGGATTCTCAATGAATGTGATAGAGATATAACAGTTTAGTTCACATGCAAAATCATGAGAAAACCTATGAAAAACTTAAGGTCTATACCCAAAGAATGCTATATCAAGTATTATCCCACTCACACCAAATATTCAGCTATTAAATGATTGATAGTCTGTGTTAAGGAAGTTTAGAGGCTTTTTTTCATATTCACTCTAAGATTATCACTGTATACTATGAAATACATAGGATTGGCTGGGCACAGTGGTTCACGCCTGTAATCTCAGCACTTTGGGAGGTCAAGGCGGGTGGATCACTTGAGGCCAGGAGTTCAAGACTAGCCTGGCCAACATGATGAAACCCTGTCTCTACTAAAAAAAAAAATAGAAAAATTAGCTGGGCATGGTGGCATACAACTGTAATCCTAGCTACTTGGGAGGCTGTGACACGAGAATTCCTTGAATCTGGGAGGCAGAGGTTACAGTGAGCCAAGATCGCACCACTACACTCCATCCTAGGCTATAGAGACTCTGTCTCAAAAAAAAAAAAAAAAAAAAAAAAAGAAAGAAAAAAGAAATACATAGGATTGTGTTACTACACTGTGGATTAATCCCATTTTGGGATTGGGTCATAACCAGTATTTAAACAAGCTCAATCAGTTCATTCTAAGTTTCATTTAAGAGCAAATTATCTTTTCAAAAAATTGAGGCTTCAGAGCAACTCAAGAATTCTGGGAAAAATCTTCCTCTCTCTACCTGTGTTGTTTGCCAACTGTACAGAATAATAATATTTTACATTTTAGTAAGCCGCTTTTCAAAATACACATTTTTCAGAAGTCATTCTGATGACCGTATGGAGTAGGTAAAACAAATATTATCATCATCTACACAGCTAATAAGTAGTAAAGACAGGATTCAAACACAATTCTTCCTAGAAAATGACTCCAAGACTTAGATTATAGATATGAGAAAAATGCTGGCATCCTAGACAAAGGTGAGATTAGTCTTAATTTCCATGCTGAGTCTATGGAGATGGCTGTAGACCAGTGGGGTAGGCAGCTCTTATTTTTAATAGATTGCGAGCTTTAAAAGATCATCAGTGTATGCTGTCCTAAGCCAGCACATTGTTATATCCTTTTGCAGTTTTAGAATTCTGACTTTCCCAGATCTGCTTAAGTATCTTTCTATTCTAAGCCAGTTCAACTTGGACACCTTCTAAATAAAATCAGAGTAGGCATTTTGTGCACTTCACGATTTGAAGCACAACGCTGACACCTAGTGTATTCACTGATTTTCTTTTCCTTTCCTCCCTCCCCCTTTTTTTTTTTTTTTTTTTTTTTTTTTTTTTTTTTGAGACAGAGTTTCACTTTTGTTGCCCAGGCTGGAGTGCAATGGTGCAATCTTGGCTCATCGCAACCTCCACCTCCCGGGTTCAAGCAATTCTCCTGCCTCAGCCTCCTGAGTAGCTGGGATTACAGGCATGCGCCACCACGCCCAGCTAACTTTGTATTTTTGGTAGAGATGAGGTTTTTCCATGTTGGTCAGGCCAGTCTTGAACTCCTGACCTCAGGTGATCCACCCACCTCGGCCTCCCAAAAAGTCGGTATTACAGGCATGAGCCACCACACCCAGCCCCCTTTTTCTTTAAAGAATGGCTATTATAGTTTAATAATAGTAAAAATTTATTGAAAACTTAACAGGTTAGCATGTTAAGTATCATGCTAAGCACTTTAAATGTATCATCTCATTTACCTTCTTCAACTATGAACAATGTTTTATCATCATCTCTACTTCACAAACAAGGGAAAAGAAGCTTAAAAAGTTAAGTCAAATTTTATTACTGCAAAAGATGGAATTCAAATCCAGATCAGCTTGACTCTGGAGCCGAAGCTCTGAATCACTATTTGTAAAGGAATCAAGTAGGACTGTGTTATGAAATAGGTTAGTTTATTTCTATTCACTTGGAGGACATTTGCACACACTTCCTTCAAGACTGAAGGTAAGCATTCAGGTAGAAAAGATGACAAATCTGCCCAGGTGCAGTGGCTCACGCCTGTAATCCCAGCACTTTGGGAGGCCAAGGCAGGTGGATCATTTGAGGTCAGGAGTTCAAGACCAGCCTGGCCAACATGGTGAAATGCCATCTGTACTAAAAATACAAAAATTAGCCGGGTGTAGCTGTGGACGCCTGTAATCCCAGCTACTCAGGAGGCTGAGGCAGGAGACTCACTTAAACCCAGGAGGTGGAGATTGCGGTGAGCCAAGATCATGCCACTGCACTCCAGCCTGGACGACAGGTAAGACTCTGTCCAGAAAAAAAAAACAAAGAAAAAACCAAAGAAAGAAAACCTAACAAATCTCATGTCTGCAGCTTTAAACCATGTGTCCTCTTGATTTTGTCTCTTTCTACGGCAGGATGTTAGCCCTAGAGTTATCCAATCCAAGTCCTTTACCCTCTCATTCTCCCTTTGAAGGCAGAGAGCAATCTCACTGAGTCTTCCAGGTCTGTTCCGGTAACGTCTTGGTATTTTAAAAAGAACTGTTATCCTGTGAGCAATATATATTATAGTGTAGTTCTTCATGTGGTGAGCCTACCTTTCCTCAAATTATCTATTAGCGCTTCTAGACTAAATGCTCCAAGAAAGCACAGCTTGTGCTTTTTTTTTTTTTTTTTTTTTTTTTTTTTGAGACAGAGTCTTGCTCTGTCGCCCAGGCTGGAGTGCAGTGGCGCGATCTCAGCTCACTGCAAGCTCCGCCTCCCGGGTTCACACCGTTCTCCTGCCTCAGCCTCCCAAGTAGCTGGGACTACAGGCACCTGCCACCACGCCTGGCTATTTTTTTTTTTTTTGTATTTTTAGTAAACAGGGTTTCACTGCGTTAGCCAGGATGGTCTTGATCTCCTGACCTCGTGATCCATCCGCCTCGGCCTCCCACAGTGCTGGGATTACAGGCGTGAGCCACTGTGCCTGGCCGCCTTTCCCATTTTTGAAGACAAAACGCATGGCATATAGTGGGTACTCAATAATGTGTTAAATACACTAATTAAAGACTGAGAGTCTGTATTAGTTTTCTAAAGTTATTTTCTTTGCATCTTTTACTTAGAATATAAGTGTGAGTTCAGTTGCTTAATGCCTAGTGCCAAGACAACTATGGTTGTTGAGTTCACTCCCCAAGTGGGCTTCTCAGATTCTCTGTGTGAAAAAAAAAAAAAAAAAAATGATCCCCTGATAGTATCTCCACTGTCTCCATCAAAGGGTTTTGTTTGTTTTTTTCTTTGAGACACCACCTCTGTCATCCAGGCTGGAGTGCAGTGGTATGATCTGGGCTCACTGCAACCTCCACCTCCTAGGCTCAAGCAATCCTCCCACCTCAGCCTCCTGAGTAGCTAGGACCACAGGCACGCGCCACCACGTCCAGATAATTTTTGTATTTTTAGTAGAGATGGGGTTTTGCCATGTTGGCCAGGCTGGTCTTGAACTCCTGAGCTCAAGCGATCCACCCGCCTCAGCTTCCCAAAGTGCTGGGACTGCAGGTGTGAGCCACCATGCCCGGCCCCAAGGGCTCTTTTAAGAGAGACATTTCCCTTTATTCTTCTTCTACGCCCTCACGGTGCCACTGTTTTATAATCTGATGTTAAAATCTATCAACTGCAGTGGGAATAAAACAGTTAAGATAGAAATAATACATAAAAGAGGTAACAAATGCAGTTCATGCTTTTTAGTTCACTTGACAAAGCATGACTCAGCTGCTTTGAGGGATTCCTATTTAATTTTCTTGGGTCAGCTTGTAATTAAACCTTAAAAGAACCTGTCAAGGCCAAGCACAGTGGCTCATGCCTGTAATCCCAGCATTTTGGGAGGCCGGGGCAGACGGATCACTTGAGGTCAGGAGTTCCAGATCAGCCTGGCCAACACGGTGAAACCCCGTCTCTTCTAAAAATACAAAAATTAGCCAGGTGTGGTGGTGCACGCCTGTAATCCCAGGCATGAGAATCACTTGAACCCCAGTAGTGGAGGTTGCAGTGAGTCAAGATCTCACCACTGCACTCCAGGCTAGGTGACACAGCAAGGCTCAGTCTCAAAAAAAAAAAAAAAAAAAAAAAGAACTTGTCAAAACTATTCTAGACTAGTTTTTTTTTTTTTTTTTTGAGATAGAGTCTTGCTCTGTCGCCCAGGCTGGAGTGCAGTGGCACAATCTCAGCTCACTGCAACCTCTGCCTCCTGGGTTCAAATGATTCTCCTGCCTCAGCCTCCCGAGTAGCTGGCACTACAGGTGCCCGCCACCATGCCTGGCTAATTTTTTATACTTTTAGTAGAGACGGGATTTCACCATGTTAGCCAGGATGGTCTCAATGTCCTGATCTCATGATCTGCCTGCCTCGGCCTCCCAAAGCGTTGGGATTACAGGTGTGAGCCACCGCACCCGGCTGACTAGTTCTTCTAGACTAGTTTTTACTCCCCATTTCCACTGGGTAGTATATATTGGATTCTCAATGAATGTGAACTTAATATTACAGAAAACAAAAGCTAACATTGATCAAATATTTGCCATAAGCAACTTCTTAGCTTAGCACAGCAGACACAACTCATTTCACAATACAAAAATAAAACTGTTATTATTGTTTCAATTTTACAGATTATGAGACAGACTTGGAGAAATTAGGTAACTCCTCCAAGTTAGGCTCCAGGTTAATATCTGACTCTACAACCAACACTCTTCACAACTATGAATCCCAAGTCCAAAAATAAACTTTTACCCCTTTTGGTTGAGAGAAGCCAAGAGTCACGGCTGGACTACAGTTTGAAACTGTTCTCAAGACCCACTTGAAACTGGATTCAGGTAGTGTTGCCCTTTCAGCCTCAAAAATCTCTCTTCTCTATGCTAGATGCAGGGCGTCCTACAGTCCCTCTCCTGGGAATCTCTGTAATAAATTAATTCAAACGAAAATGTATGTGGTTAATGCTGTGTTTGCTTGATTTATGGACCTTTCATATGAAGTAGGAAGATATTTAGAGTTGATTTAATACTGGATTATTTCTACAAAAGTTTGACAAGTCCATATTTAGAAATATGATCTCCTTTTACAGAAAATCAGGTATCACGGACGTACAGTCTGTTCCAAGGAAGTAAACTCCTTTGTCTGAAAACTGCCCATACTAAAGATATTTAATATCTGATGAGGTATTATAACATTAATTTCATCACACTCCCAACTGTACATTTTATAATCACTTCAGTAGTTCTCAAGCTTCCTATAAACAGGAAGCTTACAAAGAGCTGGGATTCCCAGGCCATACTCAGAGAATTCTGATGCAATGGCTATGGTATTGGGCCTAGGAACCTACTGTTTAGTAAGCACCCTAGGTAATTCTGAACCACATTTTGAAAAATCGTATTTGAAATAAAAAATTCAAGTACATATTTTTAAAATATTCCACATTAATAACTCAAATAATATGGTCAAGAAGATGTAAATATTTAGGAAAACTAAGTGCATCATTGCCCTCTGGAACAGAGGCTGCTGTTTGTCACCTTTTTAAGTCTTTTGAAAGACTAGTCCATTTTTTTATCAAGCCATACAGCCAAGTTTGTATGCTCCCCAAGGCCTGGCGGAAACATTGGCCTAATTACGAATAAGTGACAAAAAATTAGAACAAAGATATTTTAAAATGGCTTTAAAAGATTAAAAAGGAAAAAAGTCATTGCATAAAGATGCCTAATGCATCTTAAGGAATCTAAATTTGAGGGACATAGAAAAAGAGAGTAAAAGTCTCATTTTTTTTATTATTATTATACTTTTAAGTTTTAGGGTACATGTGCACAATGTGCAGGTTAGTTACATATGTATACATGTGCCATGCTGGTGTGCTGCACCCATTAACTCATCATTTAGCATTAGGTATATCTCCTAATGCTATCCCTCCCCACTCCCCCCACCCCACAACAGTCCCCAGAGTGTGATGTTCCCCTTCCTGTGTCCATGTGTTCTCATTGTTCAATTCCCATCTGTGAGTGAGAACATGCGGTGTTTGGTTTTTCGTCCTTGCGACAGTTTACTGAGAATGATGATTTCCAATTTCATCCATGTCCCTACAAAGGACATGAACTCATCATTTTTTATGGCTGCGTAGTATTCCATGGTGTATATGTGGCAATCATTAAAAAGTCAGGAAACAACAGGTGCTGGAGAGGATGTGGAGAAATAGGAACACTTTTACACTGTTGGTGGGACTGTAAACTAGTTCAACCATTGTGGAAGTCAGTGTGGCGATTCCTCAGGGATCTAGAACTAGAAATACCATTTGACCCAGCCATCCCATTACTGGGTATATACCCAAAGGACTATAAATCATGCTGCTGTAAAGACACATGCACACGTATGTTTATTGCGGCACTATTCGCAGTAGCAAAGACTTGGAACCAACCCAAATGTCCAACAATGATAGACTGGATTAAGAAAAGTCCCATTTTAAATCATGTCATTTAAACCTTGTGAGTCATGCATGTGCCTAACAATCTCTGCAGGCTCAGCAGCAGACTCAAATTCTGACATCTCAATGATGAAACTTATCATTTTTCACTTTTTCATCAGATGCCCCACAGGGCAGCCATATATTATAGACAAAGGTTGAGGGGGGTTATATAGCCAGATTAATTTAGGTGACATGTAGGTGGAATTAATTCATAAATCAACTCTTCAGGTAGAAATGCTAGGAGACTTCAAAGTAACAGTAGCAGAAGAGAACTGACATCACAGGTAGAATTGATGGAACACATATTGGACACTGGGACATACAGTGGCTGATGTTATACAACAAAAGAATGTGATTGCTAAGAGGTTCCACCATGCCTTCCCTTTGGATCACCTTTCTTACCCAACATTTCTCAAACTTGCCTGATCATAACTCCTACCTGAGCAGGGTGGGAGGAAAAGGTGTTAAGTTCATATTCCCAGGCCCACCTTTGAGTGAAGAGGGGGCCTAGGAATCTATATTTCATGTAATTTTTAAAAACAGCATTCCATTTTACCTTGGTGTGTGAGAAGTTGCAGCAAATGTGGAACTAATTGGTTATAATCTTGACAACTGGTTTTCAGTTAAAAACTGGAAGGAAGACCTTAGAGATCCATCAAGCCTTGAACACTTCTCTTTATGGCTTAAGAAGCGAAAACATGGAATATTATGCAGCTATAAAAAAGAATGAGTTCATGTCCTTTGCATGTACATGGATGAAGCTGGAAACCATTATTCTCGGCAAACTAACACAGGAACAGAAAACCAAACCCATGTTCTCACTAATAAATGGGACTTGAACAATGAGAATACATGGACACAGGGAGGGGAACATCACACACCAGGGCCTGTTGGGGGTGCGCGGCAAGGGGAGGGATAGCATTAGGACAAATACCTAATGTAGATGATGGGTTGATGGGTGCAGCAAACCACCATGGCACATGTATACCTATGTAACAAACCTGTAGGTTCTGCACATGTATCTTAGAACTTAAAGCATAATAATAAAAAAAAAGCGAAAACACAGAAACTCAGATCCACTGAACTTATTTGCCCTTTGCTATACACAAGCCACAGATGTTTTCAAAAAACCAGCACCTTCTCACTATATTCAAATTTCAGTGAAAAAATACACTGAATGTCTGATTCTGCATATTTCTGACATCTATTTATGATACAATAAAGACTAGTTTTTAAGAAACATTTTACTTTCCCGTCATAACCAAATAATACATGTTCATTGAAGGAAATACAAATAAGCAAAAAAAAATTTTTTTATTACCTATAACTCCACCATACTTGTTAACATCTTGTTAAATATATTTTCCTGTCCTTTAGCTGTTTACATGTAAATAAGTGCCCATTTGGGGGAACAAAAATGAAATCATATTCTTCATACTGTTTTGTGCTATAGTTTCCTACTTATTAGTATGGCTGTCAGCATTTTCATATTATTTAATATTCTAGACCTTTATGGTAATATATTCTATTGCACAAATGTATCATTTATTTATCCATTCCTCTATTTTTAGACCTTTAAAATATGTCTTTTACAACCTCCTATAACAAGGTTTAGTAACAACCTTACAAAACATATATTTTAAAGTATCACAATTTCTTAGTGTCTAATCAAGTATATCCACCAAAAAAATGAATAAAAATAGTCGTTTAGCTCCCAAGCTATAGATTTCCAGTTCCTCCTCTCTGCCCTCATGTAACATGATCTTTCTACTCAGAAAGTCCACTAGTTAAGTTTCTTCAAACATCTTGCTCAGAAATTAACAAAGAAGCCAGGCACAGTGGCTTGTGCTGGTAATCCCAGCTACTCGGGAAGCTGAGGTGGGAGGATCACTTCAGCCAGGAGGTTGAGGCTGCAGTGAGCTACCATCCTGCTGCTGCACTCCAGTCTGAAGATCCTTCATCTTTAAAAAAAATAATAATAACGAAAAAAAATAAAAAGAAAGAAGTCCAAATGTGGCAAAAGTCCAGGTCTACTAATGCCAGCCTGTATTATTATTACCCTTTTGACAGCTACATCATACTTGTGATGCTAAGCATATAATTTTTTAAAATCACAAATCTTTTCATATGAGCTGCATTCAAACAAAGCTTATGCATTTATTTTTCACCTACAGGTGTGTGCACCGATTCTTCTTAAACACGACACTTTTAATCATCCTTGTATCCATCTTCCTCATATCTATTCACTACCCTGGCAGAGCTCCAAGGGAAAAACAGTATTTTAAGAAAGTCCTGACCTGAAGGATTTGATCACCTGCCTTCAGGTGACTGAGCATAAGGTACCAATACCAGTGTTCTTATGACAGTGCAGTATGTATTGACCATCACAAGAAGCTGAGATAAACGGCTGCACCTCCTATTATGGTTTGCTGAGAAAGCAGTAGAACAAAACTAGCCAGCTTGCCCGGGTATTTGTGCTGAAACACTGCGGGATTTTAGGTGCTCCCTGACTGTATCTCTCAAGCTGACAGGAATATAATAGATGAATAGTGGTACTAAACGTAGGCTGAACAACCCCTGGCACTGACCCTGAAAAGCAAAAATAAATTGTTTTTTAAAATCATCTTTATAGACATATAATTTATATAGAATAAAATTCATAAGTTGGGAGGATAGATGATTTCTGACAAAGATGGACAGTTGTGTAAGCATCACAAAAATGATATAGAGTATTTCTATTACCCCCAAAATTCCTCGCCACCTTGCCAGCAAATACTTTTTTTCTACCTGTGGCACCTAGTAACTACTAATCTTTCTATCACTATAGTTTTGCCTTTTCAAAAACGTTGTGTAAGTAGAATTATACAGTAAGTAGCATTTTGAGGCTGACTTCTTTTACTTAGCAAAATTGTTTTGAGATTTATCCATGTTGTTGAGTGTATATTTTATCCTCTATATTATTAGTATTCCATTGTTAAGATGTAGAAAAATTTGTTGATGCTTTCAACAGTTGATGTTTGAATTTCTTCCGGTTTGTGACTATTATAAGCTGCTATGAACATCTGTATACAGGTCTTGCTGTGATCATTTTCTCTTAGTTAAATATCTGCAAGTGGAAATGTTGGGTTGTGTAGTAAGGGTAACTTAATAAGAAAGTGTTAAAATGCAAAATAGCTCTACTATTTTATGTTCCCATCGGCTATCTATGATAGTTCCAGGTGCTTCACATTCTCACCATCATTTGGTATTACCAGTCATATCTTCCTGATAGTGTCTGTTCAATTCTTTTACCCATTTATTTTATACTGTTGTCTTACTTTCTCAACAATTAGCTTTCTATTCCACACACAAGTCCTTTATTGGATGTGTCTTTTGTAAATATTTTCTCCTAAGTCTGTGGCTCATTTTTTCTTCCTTTATTTTTTTGAGACGGAGTCTCACTGTTGCCCAGGCTGGAGTTCACTGCCATGATCTCGGCCCACTACAACTTCTGCCTCCCAAGTTCAAGTAGTTCTCCTGCCTCAGCCTCCCCAGTAGCTAGGATTACAGGTGCGCACCACCGTGCCTGGCTAATTTTGTATTTTTGGTAGAGACAGGGTTCCACCATGTTGGCCAGGCTGGTCTTGAACTCCTGACCTCAAGTGATCCACTCGCCTCGGCCTCCCAAAGTGCTGGGATTACAGGTGTGAGCCACCGTGCCCAGCCCAGTTTTTCATTTTTTAAATATCTTTTAAAGATAAGTTTTTGGATGAAGTCCAATTTGTTTTTCATAGTGAGTGCTTTTTATGTTCTAAGAAATCTTTGCCTAACCAAGACAGAAGTTTTCTCTAAAGTGTTTTATAGTTTTCACTGTAGCATTTAGATTTATATCAATTTTAGTATATAATGTGAGCTCAACTTTAGTATATAGTGTGGCCATCACAAGAAGATGTTGAGATAAACCACTGCACCTCCTATTATGGTTTGCTGAGAAAGCAGTAGAACAAAACTAGCCAGATTGCTCAGACATTTGTGCTGAATATCTGCAGGATGTGAGGTACTCCCTGACTGTACCTCTCAAGCTGACAGGAATATAATAGATGAATAGTGGTACTAAATGTAGGCTGAACAACCGCTGGCACTGACCCTGAAAAGCAAAAATAAATTGTTTTTATAGTTTTTTAATCGTTTTTTAAACTTTTATAAATTGTTTTTATAGTACGTTATACATTAAGTATAACATATATATGAAGCTATATATGGCTGGGTGTGGTGGCTCGCCCCTGTCATCCCAGCACTTCGGAAGGCTGAGGTAGAAGGATCACTTGAGGTCAGATGTTCGAGACCAGCCTGGTCAACATGGTGAAACCCCATCTCTACTTAAAAAAATAAAAATAAAAAGTTAGCCAAGTGTGGTGGTGCATGCCTGTAATCCCAGCTACACTAGAGGCTGAGGCAGGAGAATCGCTTGAACCCAGAGGCAGAGGTTGCAGTGAGCTAAGATCATGCCACTGCACTCAGCCTGGACGACACAGCAAGACTCCATCTAAAAAATGAATAAATAAAGCTATATATATGTATACATAAAGCTCAAGTTATTTTTTTTTCTTTTGCACATGAATGTCCACTTGATCCAGCAACAGTTATTGAAAAGACATCTGTTACCCCCAATAAATTGCCTTGGTACATTTATTGAAAACCAATTAGAGAGAAATGTATAGGTCTTTTTCTAGACTCATTAATATATTCCACTAATCTGTGTCTATCATTTTTTGTTTCTGTCTTTAGACAGGTTCTCACTCTGTTACCCAGGCTGGAGTGCAGCAGTGCCATCATAGCTCATTGCAGCCTCGAACTCTTGACCTCAAGCAATCCTCCTACCTTGGTCTGCCAAAGAGCTGGAATTATAAGTGTGAGTGTCTGTGATTGACCCCATGTCTATCCTTGTGGTAATACCACAGTGTCGACTAATGTAGTCTGAAAATCAAGTAATATAAGACCTCCATTCTTTGAAGTTAAAATTGTTTTGACAGCCAGGTGTGGTGGCTCACGCCTGTAATCTCAACACTTTGGGAGACTGAGGCAGGAGGATGGCTTGAGGCCAGGAGTTCAAGATCAGCCTGGATGACACAGTGAGAACCCATGTCTCCAAAAACAAAAACAAAAAAATTTAAGTATCCAGATGGTGTGGTGCACACCTATAATCCTAGCTACTCAGGAGGCTCTACCCCATCTCTACAGGGAGGCAGAAGGATCACTTGAGCCCAAGAGTTCAAGGTTGCAGTGAACTATGATTGCACCGCTGCGTACCAACCTGGGTGACAGAGTGGGCGCCTGTTTCCAAAAACAAAAAGTAAAAAATATAAAAATTTTAATAAATTTTAAAAAATATTTTGACTATTCTTTTTGATTTCTATATAAATATTGGAACCACCCTGTCAATTTCTATTTTTAAGAACCTGTTAGGATATTGAGAATGCATTGAATCTATCATAAATGTGGGTAGAATAATATTTTTTTGTCTTCCAATTCAGTAATATGCCAACTCTCCATTATTTCTGTCTTAACCACTAAGTATGACATTAGCCACAGGTTTTCTGTAGACATCCTTTATTGGGCTAAGGAAATTCTCTCTTATTTCTAGTTCAGGAAGAATACTGGTCTGTAGTTTCAAGTTCTTGTAATAGGTTTTTCTGGGTTTTTGTTATCAGAGTAATGCTGGAATCATAAATTAAGTTGGGAAATGTCCCATCCTGTTCTATTTGATAAAAGAGTTTGTATAAACTTGGTATTCTCTCTTAATGTTTGGTAGAGTTTGCCATAGAACCCTTCCAGGCTAAGAATTTTTCTGGGTAAGAAGGTATTTAACAATTTCTTTTAAGAGATAAAAGGCTGTTTTCCAGTTCTGTATAATCTTGCGTGAGCTCTGGCACCTGTGTCTTTCAAAGAATTATCTATTTCATCTAAGTTGCCAAATGTATTGGTCTCATCTACGTATATTTTCTTATTATTTTGATACCTATAAAATTTGTGGTGATATCCCCTCATTCATTCCAGGTATTAGTTGTTTAAGCCTTCCCTCATTTTCTGGTGTAACTGGATAGACATTTTTCAATTGCACTAATCTTTAACTAAATCAGCTTTGATTCTATTTATTTTGCTTTCTCCATCATTAATTTCTGCTATTATCTTTACATTCCATCTGCATAATTTGCTCATTTTCTAATTTCTGAGAGAAACTTAGATAATTAAAAATTTTTATTTCCTAAAATGAACATAGGCATTGCTTTAGCTACATCCCATGAATTTTTTTCTTTCCATTCATATTTCCTATTTGACTCATGGATTATTTTAAACTGTTTTTTGGCCAGGCACAGTGGCGCATGCCTGTAATCCCAGCACTTTGGGAGGCCAAGGTGGGTGGATCACCTGAGGTCAGGAATTCGAGACCAGCCTGGCCAACATGGCCCGTCTCTACTAAAAATACAAAGATTAGCCAGGTGTGGTGGCACACACCTATAGTCCCAGCTACTCGGGAGGCTGAGGCAAGAGAATTGCTTGAACTCAGGGGGCAGAGGTTGCAGTGAGCTGAGATTGTGACACAGCACTCCAGCCTGGGTGACTCCATCTCAAAAAATAATAATAAAATATGATTTTTATGGCTTGGCACAGTGGTTCACACCTGTAATCCCAGCACTTTGGGAGGTCAGAGCAGGCAGAACGCTTGAGCTCAGGAGGTTGAGACCAGCCTGGGAAACATGGGGAGACCCCATCTATACAATAAGTACAGAAATTAGCCAGGCATAGTGGCATATGCTTGTAGTCCCAGCTACTCAGGAGGGTGACCTGAGCCCAGCAGATCAAGGCTGCAGTGACCCATGACTGCATCACTACACTCCGGCCTGGGCAACACAGGGAGACCGTCTTGGGGGGAAAAAAGTTGTTTAACATCAGAATGTCAGACATTCATCCAGATAATTTTGTTATTAATTTTCATTAATTTTGGTGTGATCAGATAAAATACTTTAAATAATTTCGGCCTTCTTGAATTTGAGACTTGTTTTATGGCCCAGCATATTAGGTCTTTCTTCATGAACATTCCATGTAAGCTTGAAATGAATGTGTGTTCTATTGTTTGGCTAAACGAATTATGTCAATTAGATTAAGTTGTTAAAGTGTTCAGGTCTTCTAGACCCTAATTTTCTTTCAAATCATCAATTATAAGACTTTTTGAAATATCCCACCCACTGTGACTATAGATTTGTCTAATTCTCTTTTCCATTCTATCAGATTTTAATTTATGTGTTTTGAAGCTCTTTTATTAGGTATGTAAGAGTTAAAATTCTTATTTCCTCATGATGAGTTAATGAGATTGCCAACATGAAATGTCCTCCATTATTCCTGGTAATATTTGTTGATCTTGAATTATATTTCATGGAACTAATATAGCCCCCTCCAGCATTCTTTGGATTAATGTTGGCATATAATTAGGTATTCCTTTTTTATCCAATCTGATAATATCTACCTTTTGTGATGTTTAGACCATTTTCAGAAATATAAATAAGGTTGGATTAAAATCTTACCTGCTTCATAGTTGATCTCATGAACTTTGTTCTTTCCTTTTCTTACTATTTTTGGAGTCATTAAGTTCTGTCTTTTTAAAATTATTCCTGGCCGGGCGTGGTGGCTCACGCCTGTAATCCCAGCACTTTGAGAGGCCGAGGGGGGCAGATCACGAGGTCAGCCTGACCAACATGGTGAAACCCCATCTCTACTAAAAATACAAAAAAATTAGCCTGGCGTGGTGGCACACGCCTGTAATCCCAGCTACTTGGGAGGCTGAGGCAGGAGAATCGCTTGAACCTGGGAGGCAGAGGTTGCAGTGAACCGAGATCGTGCCATTGCACTCCAGCCTGGGCAACAAGAGTGAAACTCTGTCTCAAAAAAAAAAAACACAATGATAATAATAATATACAGTAAATCTTCAAATAAGATTATGCTACTTCACTACTTCACATATGGCATTAAGAACATTGCAGGCCAGGCGCAGTGGCTCACGCCTGTAATCCCAACACTTTCGGAGGCTGAGGTAGGCGGATCATGAGATCAAGAGATCAAGACCATCCTGGCCAACATGGTGAAACCCTGTCTCTATTAAAAACACAAAAATTAGCTGGGCATGGTGGCGTGCGCCTGCAGGGTTTCTTTTCCCAGAGAGCAGTAAATTATGGCAAGAAGCCCCATGCCCAGCATGGTGCCAGAGAGATGGACTAAAGGGTCCAGAGACAAAAGCTCACTCAGCTCAGCATAGTTAGGCAGCAAATAAGTTGATTTAGAATTGGCAGTTACTCCAAGTTCCAATTAGGGGTAAGATGGAACACATCAGTGGATACAAAAAGCAATACAAATTCAGCAGATGGAAAGGCAAACATATGAGCAGGTATTTATAGAGAAAATGTCATATCCAAGATCCAGCAGGGGCAAACAAGGACCAGACATACTTCTAACACTTGGCTGTTATGTCAATACTTTTGTATACAGTTATCATGTAGAAAGAAAGAATGAATGGGACAGTCTCTGAGTTGACTGAGAACACTTTCTTGAGTTGACTGAGAAAACTTTGAATTGGCTATTTTTTCTAAAATAAGCTGACATCAGGAAAGAAAACCCAGATAAAAACTGAGTTTAGAAACTGCAATAACAAAACTGTATACATGGTGGAATTCTACTTTAAAAAGATAGAAACACACACATCGTATGCTCAAAAAGTATTAGACCTACTGTACCAGAAAGATTAAAGAATAAAAATTTGCAGTGATAATCTTTGGAGAATGAGACTATAAGTGACTTTTTTTCTATCCATTTAAAATAAAAATGTTATATTTGATTTCTTCCTGGAAGTTTTTTATTTTTATTTTAATGTATTTATGGGTTAGAATATGGCCAAGGTGTGGATAAAAGAAACTTCTAAGCTTACAGTATCAGCTAGCATTTGCCTGGTTGGTGGGGAAAGAAACAGTTTATTCTTAGTCTCAAAACCTTCCTCCCTCCGCCGGCCCCGAGACGGAATCTCACTCTGTCGCCCAAGATGGAGTGGTGTGACCTCGGCTCACTGCAACCTCAGCTTCCCAGGTTCAAGTAATTCTCCTCTTCAGCCTCCAGAGTAGCTGGGGTTACAGGCGCACGGCACCATGCCCAGCTCATTTTTGTATTTGTAGTACAGACAGGCTTTCGCCATGTTGGCCAGGCTGGTCTGGCCTCAAGTGATCCGCCTGCCTCCACCTCCCAAAGTGCTGGAATTACAGGCATGAGCCATGTGCCCAGCTAATGCCTCAAAACTTTTTAAATTTCTTTTTTCTCTTTATTTGACTTTTTGTGTGACTCTAGCCAAAGATAATGTCTCAAAACACTTGCTAAAGTGAATGCCTTGAATTAAATGGCCAAATGTTTACGTTCTCAGGAAGGAAAGGAGTATGGAGGCATTTGCAGGGGTCACCATTTCAAAGTATCCAGTACCAGACCACACTAAACCCGGCTAAAAGCATCAAGAGTAAGTCTTGTTTTATGCTCAGTCCATGTTCAGGGAAAAAACACAGTTATTATTGATTCTACTAAATGTTGAATGCAAGACCAGCAACTATAGGAAGTATAAAAGCATTAAGCTTCTGTGTTGAGGAAATTTATAATCTAATAGAGAAAATAACAGAGTACTAAAACTGCATGGGAAACAGGCTACAGAAATTCAGAGGAATATCAATTAAAGGAGGGTAGAGAAAGCAACAGAAAGGGTTGACAAATGATGTTTCAGGAATAATTTACTGCTCTCTGACACATATGGAAAGGCGAGGCATATGGAAAATGGGAGAGAAAAAGTGGTATCTTCCTAGACAGCAAAATGAGGAAATATTGAGCAGGAAATTTACCAGATTCACAAATTCCAAAAAGTTCAGGGAACAACTGAAATGACTGAAATGAACGTTGGTTTTGGAGCAAGTTAGGCTGGACTCAAATCCCAACTCTGCCTCCCTAATAGGTAAATGCCCTTGAATAAGCTTACTCCCCGCTGAAATGTTTCTCCCAGTTTGTGACTTGTCTTCTCATTCTTGTCATTGTCTCTTGACATTGAGCATTAGTTGTAAAAATGAAGCCTAATGTCTTTCCCTTTTTTTAATGGATCAGCCTAGCTGGCTGCTGAGCAGAAGCTCCCCTCAGTTCCTTGCTGTGTGGACTTTCCCAACATGGTAATTTGCTTCATCAAAGCCAGCAAGGGAGAGAGTCTGCTAGCAAGAAGTGACATACCCACAATGATGATTAGAAGAAATTTACTCAAGGGGAAGGCATTACAAAACGTCATAAACATCAAGAGGCACAGGAGTCATCAGGGGTCATCTTAGAGCATATTCTTTACACATCTTAAACAGACTAAGGTTTATTTCGGGGGGCTGAGGGAACCTAGACCATCCAAGTTTTTGGCTATGAGTGTCTCCACAAGTATAGAAACTATTCTTGGTCAGAAATGTTTTCTAAGCCATGAAAACATCTATCTAAAAATGGGATTATTGTAAGAATTAAATAACATAAAGTATAAGATTGAATCACACTAAGTTGCAGTTTGTATAAGTAAACAACAGTTAAATATCAGCAATTTCATACGGTTCTTAAAGAACATACAGTTTGTCATGTGGCAGGTACTCAATATTTGCTGAACTACACTATCTTATTCCATGAAGAAAATGAACTTCACTTAAAAAGAAAAATCTTACCAGAGGGCACCATGTTTTCTATATAGCTCTTAAAGATCTAAATTTATATACTGGTTCAGCCACTTATCGGTGAAGTGGCATCAAATCAGTTACTTAAACTTTCTAAAGTGTGTAAAGTGAGGATACTTACCTATTCTTTTTATGATTATTTTCAGGACTAAAACACTCTCCCAGAGTAGGTTATCAGATTGTAACTAGTATTAAGATTTGTAAGAAGTATGTGACATAAACCAATTAGAATAAAATCAAGAACATGAAACCAATTCCAAACTAAAACCTGAGGAAAATGCTGAGGTTGACAAAGTAGGTTCTCAAAACATTTAAGCACAGTTGTACCAAATTTTCATAGTGGTCCTAAGGGATTCTAGTAGTTACCCAAAAAAAAAAATTTTTAATTTTGCATTTTCAAAAGCTGTAGTTTTATATCACATCAGTTTTCACTGAACTGTCTAGGACTTTCACATATATAATCTCTAAGTATTTGTATAATTTGTATTGTATGTTACATGGCCTAAGCATCAACCATGAAGTTGACCACTCTGTTTATACATTTGAACTTAAGGTAATGATTCTAAAACTTTTATTCTGGGACATATTCTCTCTCGCTTTCCTCCCACACCCACAACATATACCACACAAAAGGGCTTGTGGTGTTACCTTTAATAATATATTCTACAATCCTACCTTGAGCTAAAAAAAATTTGTAAAGATCACATAATCTCTGAAGAGTTTCCTGGGGAAGAATTTAGCTAAACAATTCCGGATGAACGGTCATCTCCCCTTTTCTTCACCAAAATTTCCCATGACTGTGTGATGTTATGTTCCTAAAGTTGCATAAGTTTTTTCCAAGGTCCAGACTCATTAATGTCTGTTTAAAACTATCTAATCTCCATCATCTATCTTTATCTCTATCTATCTATCTATCTATCTATCTATCTATCTATCTATCTATCTATCTATCTATCTATGTTTTCGTAGAGATGGGGTCTTTGTTTTCCAGACTGGTCTCGAACTCCTGGCCTCAATCAATCCTCCCACCTCAGCCTCCTAAACTGTGGGTATTACAGGTGTAAGCCACCGCACTCAGCCTAAAACTATTGACTAAAACAGAAAACAGCTCTTCACCATCACATAGAGCATGTTCCTTCTCAAATATAAAGATACAGTCAACTCTTTTAGATTCAACGTTTTTTACTTAACTTTTCCTCCAAATCCAATTTCCTCAAATTGATGTTCATGTCTGTCACTTACCTTGAACTTTTTCTCCTCTTTATGTTGGGGTCCAAAATCAAGAACAATACTCTAGAAAGACTTACAATGATGAGTACAATGTGTGAGAATGCGGGAAAACACTGTTAGGATAAGCAATTCCCCTCCCCTCACATACTGTATGTATAATGCCGGATTATTACCCTCAGCAAGTACATGTTAGTAAGCAGAGTTTCTATTTCCAAGAGTTATTTATCATGAGAACTCATTGGTTTTCATGAATGAAAGTACATCATAGATAGAGATGACCAACCAATCATTAGTTTTTCAATAGTTTAGCAAATGCTGTTGGTCAACCATTCTACAGACATAATTCATCCAAAAATAGTATTTAAAAAACAATGACTTTTTTCTTAAAAAGAGGGAAAAGACATTGGTTGAAAATAACAACAAAATGGAAGAAGCTGCAACCTTTCTGTTGACATCTGATTAAATAAACTCAGATTGAAGATTTTTTTTTTAAGGCCTGAATAATTTGCCCTACTATACACAAAGGAACCTCATTCAAGAAGAAACTAAAAAAAAACTTTTTTATTAACAATTTGTTGGTGGCAAAGAAAACAATGTCTTTACATACATGTTTACAAAATATTTCCATAAAATAATTGTTTTCCTTTCCTTTTAAAGATTTGTTTTCACTTGGCAAAAAATTAAAACATTATTTACCACAAGCAATGAAACCCAGCACTTTTATATAAATGGTTTTATCTTCCCTTCACCCTTTTCCTTAAATTCAATACTCTTACAGGCTACCTAAATTGATAATGACATTTAGAAGGATGAACATGTAGTATGATTAATGGTAGAACTGTTGTGTTAGGCAATAATGCTAAAGTTATAAGTGCTACTTGAGAATATGAAGGATTTGGAGGATTTTTTAGGGGGTAGGAACATAAAGCATTCTAGAATATCACTACCAGGGGATAAAATGCCCAACACCATCCCTGCACTCAAACATGGGACTGCTAGGTCAGAGTATTCAATCAATTAAGCTATAGTCTCCATTTTTAAGTCATGGCAAAGGATACTAGAGAATGAAGAGATTACTTGCTATCAGAAGCTACAGACTAAGAGCTAGCTTAAAAAGAGAAAACCCAAGTTCCTTTCAGGTAAGAAACGATTTGTCAAGACTATAAAAGCAGGCCTTTGTTATTGTTTCTAATACACAGAAGGGAAAATGCAAGAGAGAAAAGGAGGATGGAAACAGATTGGTGTCTTCTATCTTCATTAGTATCTTTTATCTTAGAGAAAATATCTTTTTAAATGATACCAGGTAATAAGTATTGCAGAATTTTAACGAGTAATACTACTATTGAAATATCTGTGTCAATTAACTTAAAACCGGGAGAGACAGGCAAGATGTATCTTTGCATTTACTGCTATAGTTCCCAAATACACAGAGATCATTAAAATATACAGTATCTTTTCCCAGGGATAACCAATTTAATTTATGTTCAATAGTTTAGATTTTTTAAACGTATTTTGGCTATTCATATTTTTGTCTTATATATTCCCATTTATGAACCTCATTATTTTCATTTGACAGAACATTACTTTTCATTGAACATGACAAAATTCCCATGATCAAAAATTTCAGTGTCTCTCTTTTTTTAAAACAATCCATCTGTTACTTTCTTGAGAGTGCTCCTCAGCTGATTTGCAAATGAGTACACAACTTGGTAAAGGTCTGTAATTTTATTCTTTAATATTGAGCACTGCAAGCTCTGTTATGAGAGAAGTAAAGTATCCCCATCATTATACTTGTTCATCTTGGGCAGAAATACTAAAGTTTGTTGAAAACAACTCCACTTTCAAATATTAGTTATCCTAACTTTGTAGAGACGGTGGTAGCAATGTTACCACTAAAAACAAGCGTCGGGGGTTGAGGGGGAAGAATTGGGTAGAAGCTGGCAAGAAAAGCTAAAGATTCTAACTGACAAGCTTTCTGTTACCATATATTATTGAAATTACTATAAAATTACTGCTAAAAAATATTTTTCTAAAGCCATTTTGTCACGTGAGTTGGGCACAGAAACCTCAAGCTATTACGTATGAACAAATGTTTCTTCGGTTTAAAAAGGTGAAATTCCAAGGAAAATCAAAAGAACATCTGGTTGTACCATATAAAAGCAGATATCACATATTGTACCAAAGTGCCTTTCTAGTAATAAACTAGTAATGACTTAAATACCACACGTTTACCTACATTTCTATCACCTAAAAGTTAATGTCTCCATTTAAAAAATAAGCATAAATGAATTGTGAAAATAAAGCTGTAAATAATGCAAAAATCTCTAAGTTACACTTAAAATATAAATTAGAATCGGGCAATTTTGAATCTAATAATAGCTCTACTGTAAATACCTGAGTGAAACATGATATCCTGTAGACACTGAGTCCCCAAACCTACATTTCAGCATAAATTCTTTTAGTACTAACAATTGGTTTAACTATCTTTAGTCAATAATGTAAACATTTAGTTAAAAATTGCCTGTTATTAAAAATAAATAAATGTGAAGGTTTTTTAAATGGCACACACACACACACACAGACACACACACACACACACACACACACACACATATCAGGGACTAGATTACCGCAAGGTATGGTATTTTTTCTAACACAAAAATAACAAAGAAAACCAGAAATTAGAAATTTACCTATAGCAATTATGGAGGTCTGCTTTTTTAAATATAAATTTATAAACTATTATAACTGTTAAAACATGCACCATGGTTTCATCCAAGTTAATTTTCTCTGACAACTGTACCAAGTAGAGCTTCTAGGAATAGACTAACCTTGTTTGTTATTCACAGATACATCACTGTCAACTGACATTAATAAAAGGAAGGAGGCACTTTTTAAACATAATAAAGACCTGGTTGTACTTCAATACTTAGTATAGAGGTATTGTATAAGTGGCCTGTGGTGATGAAATATTTGTAAAAGAATAGACTTTTTCAGGCTTGTTTTACAAGTTATCATAAGACTGTTCACATTTAATACATAGATTCAGCTTCCAGCTAAGACTTTAAGAGGAAATTCTATCTTAACACTCCTTATAGAAAATATTTAGTGTTCAGGCTGGGTGTGGTGGCTCATGCTTGTCTGTAATCCCCTGCCTTTGGGAGGCGGAGCGGGGCAGATCATTTTAGGCCAGGACTTCCCTGGCCAACGTGGCAAAACCCCATGTCTACAAAAATTAGCCAGGCATGGTGGCACATGCCTGTAGTCCCAGCTACTCGGGAGGCTGAGGCAGGTGAATCGCTTGAACCCAGGAGGCAGAGGTTGCAGTGAGCAGAGATTGTGCCACTGCACTCCAGCTTGGGCAACAGAGTGAGACTCCATCTCAAAAAAAAAAAAAAAGATTTAGTGTTCTGAGCTGGTTTTCTGAACACATTTTTTAAACTGTCTCTGGTTTTTACACAGATTTTCAATTTACCATACTGAGATATTTGAGATGTCAAGTAACTATGAATTTAGTAATAAATTAGGTAGTTATTTGGATATAACATGTCTAAAAAGCAACAAGATTAATTTTCGATAGTATAAGTGATATTAACAGTTACTTAGACTGTAAGCTTATTCCAATGTGCCACTGTGGCGCTTTGGGGTAGGGACATTTTAAAGCACGTATGTCCCAGGAGAAAGGCAACTTAATTCTTTATAACTAACATATTCCTCCCTTAAACCTTATTATCCAATCTAATCACACAGCTGATCTTTGACCATTTCTAACAAATACAACCTCAAAGGTCAAGAAATGTCCTGCCATATATTCAAGAGAACATAGCAGAACCTGAAGGTACAACAAGGTAATTAAAGGGACTCTATCTACACCAATATATATCTATATACATAGATATATAGATACATATAATATAGAGAGCAAGATATGTTTAAAGATGTTACTTTATAACCAGGATAACTAATTATTATTATTTTTTTGAGACAGAGTCTCACACTGTTGCCCAGGCTGGAGTACAGTGGCATGATTTTGATTCACTGCAAACTCTGCCTCCCAGGTTCAAGTGATTTTCCTGCCTCAGCCTCCCGAGTAGCTGGGATTACAGGCGCATGCCACAACACCTGGCTAATTTTTGTATTTTTAGTAGAGACAGGGTTTTGTCATGTTGGCCAGGCTGGTCTTGAACTCCTCAGGTGATCTGCCCACCTCGGCCTCCCAAAGTGCTCAGATTACAGGCGTAAGCCACCGCACTGAACCCAGGGTAACTAATTAAATATATTCTTTAAATGATCTGTTGTTCTTATGGGAAAATGCTTGTGTGTGCTAATCTTAGAGTGACTCTATAAATAGAGCTATAAGCTTCCTTCAGTTTCATCTATGTTCCACCTCAAAAACCAAATAAATAAAAAATATACTTGAGACACTAAATCACAATTTTTACACAGGAAAAGAAACAAGAAAACTGATACACATTTCCCACATCGATTCTTAGAAAACATAAAAACCAGTATTTCCAATTTTAAAAACATGTTATCAAAGCTGCAAGTAAGAAACGCAGACAAAAGCAACAAAAAATTCAAACAGAATACTCCATAGAGGAAACCAACTCAGAACTGACTGCATACCCTCCTCATTTTTTGAATTACAACAATGTAATCAATTTAGTGTAGAGCTTGTTCAATTTATAAATTCCATATTCCTTAATCTTTAATAAAATCACAAAAAGTTTTGCTTTAACAAAGATCACAGAATACTCTTTGATAAAAGTATCCAGAAACTTAACTCATCCTTAAAATCAATGTTAGGCAAGCCTAATCCTGCTCCCTGATGGTGAATAAGCAGGTCCTGGTAAGAAATGAGAAAGTTGGGTCCAACTACCAAATAACCTACAATTTTGGTTGAACTAAATTCCATGTTTTAAATCAATTCAATGAAAATAGATAATCAGTTTTGTCCTTAAGTCACTTACATAACCACCCTATGGTTAAGTACTGTATGGTTATTAGAAATAAATCTTTCTACTAGATCTACTCTTACTATATGGTTATTAGAAATAAATCTTTCTACTAGATCTACTCTTTTAAAAAGTTAAATACTATACCATATTTTAAATACTCTACCATATTTAAAATACATGTTGGTGGCTCATGCCTGTAATCCCAGCTTAAGGGAGGCGAAGTGGGTGGATCACTTGAGGCCAGGAGTTCAAGACCAGCCTGGCCAACATGACAAAACCCCATCTCTACTAAAAGCACAAAAATTAACTGGGCATGGTGGCGCACATCTGTAATCCCAGCTACTCTGTGTGCTGAGGCATGAGAATAGCTTCAACGTGGGAGGCAGAGGCTGCAGTGAGCCGAGATCACACCACTGCACTCCAGCATGGGTAACAGAGTAAGACTGTCTCAAAATAAATAAATCAGAAGAACTGAATGTTTATCCTATATCTGATACTAACTAGCTACATAAACAAAAGGAAGTTATGCAATTTGTATGTGTCTCACATACTGTAACAGTAAAATTAAGGTAACAATGTCTGGCCTGTAATCCTTGAGATTAACAGAGCAGGGGAAATGTTGTGAAACAGATTTAAAAATGTTAAAGTACAATACATTAAATAAATAAGGTGTTTTCATTCATGTCCTAAAAAGTCAAAGGTGGAAAGACCCTTAGAAGTAATATTATTCAATTCTAACTCACATTAATAAAGAAATAAACTCTAATCTAGAAAGGAAGAGTGACTCGTTCTAGCAAACCAGTAGCAACTCACCAGCAAAGTTGTAAACAGATTCTAGTCCAGAATTTCTAACACTCCATAAGTATCTTTTTACTTGAGAGTTGGCTGGACATGTCATTGGGCATGCAGCTAAAGCACATTTTATTTAACTTTAAAAAATTTTTCAACACCTTCAAGTAATGGTAAACACCATCGGACATTGCCAAATATGAGCTAGGAATCATGGGCCAACAGGTTCAATTGTACCAGATAACTTACATTACAATTTATTTCATTTAGCATCAAATATACAGCCTAGGAATATTAAATTCTACCCTACCTTAAAGTTACTGAGGACAATGATTTCCATAATCATTGAAAATGAAAAAAGCCAATTAAAAGATGCTTCCAGTGAAAAGGTTTATGCTTTCCTGACCTTTAGAAAACACTTCACATGAAGATTATCTTTTGTTCTCCTTCCTTCAAAATTCAATTCATTGAAACTGAACAAACAGCAACTGAATATCTATTCTGTGCTAAATTCAAATTGATAATAATTTTTTTTTCTTGAGACAGTCTCGCTCTGTCACCCAGACTGGAGTCTGTGGTGGTGCAATCTCAGTTCACAGCAACTTCCGCCTCTCGGGCTCAAGCGATCCTCTCACCTCAACCTCCTGAGTAGCTGAGAGTACAGGTGCATGCTGCCACACCTGGCTCATTTTTTAATTTTAATTTTAATTTTTTTTTTTTTGTAGAGACGCGGTCTCACTATATTGCTCAGGCTGGTCTCAAACTCCTGGACTCAAGCAGTCCTCCCACCTCAGCCTCCCAAAGTGCTGGGATTACAGGCATGAGCCACCGTGTCTGGCCAAATAAAAAATTTTAAATGAAAAAAAAATTCTCAGAAAAAAACTTCCATTTATAAAATAGTTAACAATACTTTTATTAAGTCAAATTCAAGTCTAAGGATTTAATGTTTAAAAACTCGCAAAACTTAGTATGATCTAATTTTTGTTTTCATCGTTTTACTACTTTCTACTAAAATGTAACATCACATTCACTAATTCAGAATATCAGACAAAAATATTAAAATTTTTTCAGAAGTTTACAAAGACCAATTTAAAGATTAAAATTTTTAATTTTATTAGATGTAGTCAAATTAAAAAATTTTTAAAGTTAAATAAAATGTGCTTTCGCTGCATGCCCAATGAATTCAATCCTGCTTATAGTTGCCTCTCTTGGCCTTCAATAGCTTAATAACGGTGTTTAGATTCTCTTTGGTTTCATTATTAGGATGACAGGGAAAAAATATGACTACATCTAATAAAATTACAAACTGAACTTTGCAGTGAGAAATGTTCATTTGAACATAATTTACAATTAATAATAAAAAAACAACTGCATTATAGCATACCTTTCAAACTCAGACAAACTGGCTTTTAAAATTCTTTTCATTATTTTTATAGTGATTGCCAAAATTTTGCATTAGAATTAAATACATGTGCGCACGCACGCGCGCGCGCGCACACACACACACACACACACACACACACAGAGTACACACACATACACAGTAAATGTGATACATCCTGGATACAAACCACTCTGGAATCATCAGAGAACCCTAGAATAAATGACAAATCTGAAACTCCAAAGTTCTTTACATAGTACTAATGAATACTTGAAGACAGGATAGGCAAACAAATCCATCCTCAACAGTGACTTTAAAGAGGTAGAGGTTCCAGTTATCAGCATTACTTGAGAGAGCTTTGTCAAAATGTGTAGCATAGCTATAGATGACAGTATGCCATGCCACTCAGCTGTATGTACTGGTATGTGGTGGGATACTAGAACAGGAAGTAGATAGGAAAACGTCTTATGTGACAGCTGCTCCAGGTTATCCTAATATTTTGACATTAATAGGTATAAAAAAACCAGTCCTTCAAGTTCCTTTTCTGCCAACTGATATGGCTGTGTTTTAGATTGAAAAAGCAGCTCTGTTTAATTGAGTCATTCATTCAAAGACCAACTTTATTTTAGGAAATGGTAGAACTCTGCCCTATATTTAAATGTTTTAACTAAAACAGAATAATTAATTATTCTAAGGTTCCCCCAGTAACTGGTACACCAGTGTTACCCTAGTAACAATAAAGCAATAATCATCAATTTATAATCTCTGTGTTTAAAGTTAGTGTTAAATGGTCAAAATCAATTTTGATTTAAAAATAACTTCTCAACAGTTTTATACAAATAAGTTCCATTTTACTTGTATACTAGCTTTTTTTAGCTTGGTGATCATAATTACACATCTCTAGGTGATACTGATGTTGATAGTCCAGGGACTCTACTTCGATAATCACCAATCTAGCTTTTATCTGAATACTTCTAATGCTTTTATGAGGACAAAGTAAAATTCTCATTATTAGAAATTCTCATTATACAAGGCGAGTGGATCTCTTGAGCCCAGGAGTTTGAGACCAACCTGGGTAACATGGTGAAACCCTGTCTTGAAAGAAAGAGACAGAGAGAGAGAGAAATGGGATTGGGGGGAGGTGGGGAGGGAGGGAGGGAGGGAGGGAGGGAGGAAGGAAGAAAAGAAAGAAAAGAGGGAAAAAGGAGGAAAGAAAGAAAAGAAAGGGAAAAAGGAGGAAAGAAAGAAAGAGGCTGGGTGCAGTGGCTCACACTTGTAATACTAGCACTTTGGGAGGCCGAGGCAGGCAGATCACCTGAGGTCAGGAGTTCAAGACCAGCCTGGCTAACATGGCGAAACCCCGTTTCTACTAAAAATACAAAAATTAGCCAGGTATGGTGGCGGGCGCCTGTAATCCCAGCTACTCAGGAGGCTGAGGCAGGAGAATTGCTTGAACCTGGGAGGCAGAGGTTGCAGTGAGCAGAGATCATGCCACTGCACTCCAGCCTGGGGCAACAGAGCGAGACTGGGGGAGAGGCGGGGAAAGAGAGGGAGGGGAGGGGGAGGGGGAAGGGGAGGGATAGGGAACGGGGAGGGGAAGGGGAAGGGAGAGAAAAGGGAGGGGAAAGGGAGGAAGGAAAAGGAAAGGAAAGAATTCTCATTAGAGAATATTCAACGTAAAACCAGAAGCTCCCATTTCTTATAATTTTTCTACCCAGAACAACACAGAACAAATACTATTCTTTCTCATATATGAAGGTCACTCAATCTGAAGAAAACTCCCTATCTTTAAACTTACCTTCTCAAAAATAAGACTCACCAATTTCTTCAACCACATCTCACTCTCTAGACTATCAAAGCCTTTTATCATTCCTTATAGACACTATAGTTCTTAGTGTCCCCTTTAATACATGGCACTTACAATTTAACACAATAAAAACGTCTTAAATCTCAGTAACAGTGTACATGTGGCTTATTAATCTACTAGTCAATATCAGCTTTGTAAGTACACTAGTTCTTTCAACAACTGTATTATAGCACTTCCCAAATGCCAGTCTATGGACTAATTAACTCGATAAATTTTTCAGTGATGCAGAGTAAATGAGAAAATACCAGTGTAGTAATTTTTTCATTAACTTAAAGTTATTCAAGTTAAATTACTCTATTACTCTGAGTTTAAGTCCTTCCTAAATATTGGGAGTCACTTTTAAAATAAAATGGTAAGGGAAGATAGTAGTTGTCTTTTCAAAAGTCCTTACACGGCAAAATTAAGTTTTACATTTCACAGTCCTTTTTAAAAATGTTGGTCTAGTGTCCTAAAATACTCAGGTAAAAAGGTTCATCTGATCTAGCTTCTGCTATCATCTAGGTAGCCAAGCACTTAGAATAATTTAAAGAATTTGCAACAACCAATCACAAGCTCCACCGATCACTTTTTTGATTAGTTTATTGCAGCAAAGTAAACCTCCCAATGGATTCCAGCAAATAAAAGGGCTTCAAAGTTATTCAACACTAATTTCCAAGACTTCTTAGTTTCCCATACCCATTTCCCACTTACCTTTATGATCCTAAATAACACTCCAACCAGTCAATCTGACTACATCAAAATAAGACAGGATTGTGATGGCAAAAACTTACCACCGCTTTTTGCAGTTTAGATTATTTGCCAACTTTTGAACTACAAACGGCACCATCTATGACAGGAGACAGCAAATTATGGCCCACAGGCCAAATCCAGCTCACCATCTTTGTGTAAATAAACTTTTATTAGAACACATTCACATTCATTTGATTACACATTGTCTATGGTGGCTTTTGTGCTACAATTGCAGAGGAAAATAGTAAGGACAGACTATATGGCCTGTGAAGCCCAAAATATTTACTATCTGGTCTTTTACAGAAACATTTACCAACCTGAAAACTCAGGGAATAAACTATTTGCTACCAAAGCAATATTTAAGATCTGTAACATTAACCATTTACTAGCTCAGAACACCAGCCATCTAAATGGGAATATCTAAATACAAATACTGGTATATCTGAATAGTTCTTTATCCTACTCTGTATGAAGATTTGTTGCCCACCCAAGACAGAGCACTTACTTACCTGCTCAGTGAGCTAATCTTTAACATACATTTCTCAAGGATTCACTAGCGGAATAGTGAAGAATCCATGAATATGCTGCTCTGTGCAATCTAAGGTTAAAAAAAAAAAAGTTGCTACAAAACACTCAAAACTATATAATAAAGAAGCAACTGTATAGAGCTACATAAGAATTTCCTTTATATTTTAGATTCCAAATACAAAACTTTTAAAGGCACTTAAAGTAGAAAAGCTTAAGTTCAACATTTTAGGTAATATTAACTGCATTAAATAATGCAAATTAAATTTCCTTTTGTGTTAAATAACAAGACTTTCATTTCCATGTATGTGAAGTTGAAATCAAAAGATAGTATCTCTACATTATTCATGTAGCTATTAAAAATAAATGACACCAGAACCTCTACAAAATAAAGTCACAGTATCAAAGTACTTTGAAACTAGAAAGCACTTAAGAGATCCCCTCCACATTTTACAAATGAGAAAGTTTCAATATGACATGAAACACTTAAGTTCAGAGAACTAATTAGTGGCAGAAATAGAACTAGAACCCAACACTCAATCATCAATTTGGAACTCTTTCTACTTCATTATCAGGTATGTTGATATTCTAGGAAAGTGTAGAGTGATGCTGAAATATTCTGCAGATTTGTTTGTTTGTTTAGAGGGTTTTGGGGGGCTCACTACATTGCCCAGGCTGGTCTCAAACTGTCAAGTGATCCTCCTGCCTCCACAGTCAAAGTAGCTGGGACTACAGGTGCATACCATCGTGTCCAGCTTCTACAGTTTTAAAAGTGCAAGAACCATACTTGTACTATAGTCCACCCAACTTAGGCAACCCTCTTGTCTTTTTAAAAATCAATCAACTATAAAATTATAGAAAGACAAAAATAATTAATTATAAAGCAACTCTTTTTTTTTTTTTTTTTTTTTTTTTTTGAGACGGAGTCTCGCTCTGTCGCCCAGGCTGGAGTGCAGTGGCGGGATCTCGGCTCACTGCAGGCTCCGCCACCCGGGTTCACGCCATTCTCCTGCCTCAGCCTCCCAAGTAGCTGGGACTACAGGCGCCCGCCACTACGCCCGGCTAATTTTTTGTATTTTTAGTAGAGACGGGGTTTCACCGTTTTAGCCGGGATGGTCTCGATCTCCTGACCTCGTGATCCGCCCGCCTCGGCCTCCCAAAGTGCTGGGATTACAGGCGTGAGCCACCGCGCCCGGCCATTATAAAGCAACTCTTATTAGAATGGTCAAAGAAACAACCGATTGTTATGTTAACCAACTGTCAAAGATTAAAAAAATAATGATACTGGTGAAGGGGCAGAATGATGGGTACTCATACATTGTTAATTTAGTACAATCTTTCTAAAGGGTTATAACTTGGAAATATTTTAAAGAGCCTAAAAAGTTCTCACTGTCTAAACCACTTATTCCATGTACATGAGTATATCCTAAAGAGTCTAATATAGAGATGAAATTTTACAAACAAGGATGTCTATCCCACTATTATTTATAATGGTGAAAGATTAGAACAACCTAATATCCAAAGAGAGAAGTAGTTAAATTGTGGCATATTCATACAATAGAATATTAGGCAGCCATTTTTAAAAGTCACATTTTCATAGACATGGGTAAATATGTATGAAGTTAGGTTATAAAAAACAGGGTACATAACTATATGGTCAGTATAATCTCAAGTTTGTTATTACACACACACACAAACACATGTATACACACTCATACATAGAAATAGCACAGACAAAGACTGAAAAGAAATACAGAAAAATATTAACAGGGTTATCTCTGGGTAGTGAGATTGCAGATAATTTTTTCTCTTTATAACTTTTCAGTAATTTTCAAATTTTCTAAAATAATCATGTATTAGTCTTATACTCAGAAAACATTATTTTAAAAATTCACTGTTGTCCATTTTAAAATTTTATAGTTCATATTAAACAAGAAATAAATATTAATAGTACTAAAAAGTGTATCTAAATTACGGAAAATAAATCACTAATGTGTAAGAATATAATTTCCACACATACATAGGTGGGCGACTTTGAATCTAAAAGGTAACATTATTTTATTTCACTCGAGTATAGAAAGTTGATATTTAATAAATAAGAAACATAAATCTTTAAATAAAATTGGTGCAAGGCATCTAAAAATTGTGCTACTCTGGCATAACACTGGAGATATAAACACTCTCTAATATAATGTAGACACTGTTAGGTTAAAATAGGTATAATGCAGTACATACATGGTAACTGAATTATTAACTAAATTATATCTTTTTTTTTTTTTTTTTTTTTTTTTTGGCGAAAGTGACTAGAATTGGTCTATGCTAAAGAAAGAAAGAAATACAACATCATACCATTATTTTAGTTGGAAGAGCCGCACCAAAAATCATGACAAAAAAAATTGTGTAACCATAAGAAAATCCAGTGGCTTGTTGTTGTTGATGATGTTAATGATCTCTGGCTAAAAATTCAAGTAAAAGAGTCAAACTGCTTAAAGCATTAAAAAAGCACAGCAGTGTAAGGTCTGCAATGATTTGAAAAACACTAAGAACACTCTTCAATGTTTCCTCATTTGCAGACTATCAAACATGATCTTTGAAGTCAAGGATTACATCTACGTTCTTTTACCAATCTTGAATATATATTCTGTTACAATATAGTAATGACACAAAGGGATGTCACAGACAAAAAGGCAAACTGCATGTAATTTAAAAAGTTAACTTTAAGATCATATGATTCTAATTTCTGATTTAAAAAAATCATACAAATATATAAAATATAAAATACATCCTAATATATTTTTACATAAGAGCTGAGGTTTACCATTTTTAACAAAAATTCTGAGATGGAATTAATAAAAAACAATTTTCATATATACCACAGAGCAATAAGTTTAAATCAGACTATTTTGAGTTGTGTAGCCCTTTATTAGCAACTAAAATAGAAGGTATCTGTTGTACAACATGGGTAGTAATTGACTATAACTGGAGATTTATTATATTCTAATACAGATCATTTATAAATGCAATTTCTTTATTAAAAAGCTTCCACCTTTTTGTTTGTTTGTGTACAATTTGCAAAACTATTCTGAAAGCGGAATATATGTGCACAAGTCTGCAAAGAGTGCAAATTTAGGATATGGTAAATGCTTTACAAGTTACTTTCAAAAAACTGTCTGCCACAACTGAGCCTTTACATTGTCATCTTTTTTGATCAAAATATTTTGATGCCAGCCTTCCTTCCACTGCCCTAAACTATAAAGCATTTTTTAATGAGTTGAAATTAAGGAAGGACTACACCTACTAGAAAAAAAGAGAAGAAAGTTCTATTAGTTTGAGGTTTCAGAATCCCCCCAAACCAGGACCAGTATCGTGGTAAAGGCTAGGCTGGGACCCCGGACAGAGTATGAGAATGTGCAGGTGGCATCCCTGAGGATTCAGAGCTTCAGTGGACCGTGAGTGCTCCAGCTGCATAACTCACTGAACTGTCTTGCCAGTTTCTACACTGGCTCGACTGGGCATAATTCAAAAACGAAAAACTCATATTCATTCCATTCTTCTGGAGCTCTGTGATAGCCTAGAAAAAAGAAAAATTTGGTTAGGACACACATCACATAAAAAACTGGGCACTCAATGTGTTTGCGGTTTGACTTTGTCCACTTCACAGCTGAAGCCTAGATTATCTCTTTTGCTCTTTTGTTTCTTGAATTTCTCTTGTTGCATCATATTAAAATAGAAAAAAAAGAATTCCTTATCATTTTCTCAAATAACTTCTAATCTTGTTTTTTGATAATTAAGTATCAGTCATCATTTACCCTCCCTCTCCCTGTAATAAGGCCATTTTTTAAACCCTTTTTAACTTTTTAAATATATTTCTCTTTACCGTATAAACCAAATCCCTGGCCACTTCTGTCTTAAGACGTCGGAGTCTTTATCTGACTTTGACTAAATTTGAAATGTATACAAATTAAAATCCAAATCTAAAAGGTATATGCTAGGATTTTTACTTTAATTGTCGATTGGTTCAGCATTTACTTTATAATACAAATTTTATTTGATTCAATTCAGATTTTAGGAAATTAGTACAGTTTATTCTAGCTTCAATTTTCAAAAATTAGTTTAAGTTCTTGAAAAGCTTTTCTTTGAGTCAATCAATACAGCTTAGAAGAAAAACCCTTCTTAAAAACCCACAATATATTACCTTTCAAATCACATTAAAATAATACTGGACTTAAGGTCCTAACTTAGTCTATTCTGGACTACATTATCTTCTCCATTATTTCCCTGCCTCTCCAAATAAGCCCATTGTTACTTTCTCCTCCCATTCCTGAGTATACACTTTCTTCTTTCTTAATTAATGTCATATTTTCATTCAAGAAATTAATAGTTTTCCTAATTAGAAGAAAAAAATGCTATTTCTTTTTCTAAAATCCAGCTAACCGAAACTTCTGACTCTTACCATTCCTTAACTGAAATAAACATTATTTTTGTTTTAATGAGAAAAACACACATCATCTGTCTTGCTTTATTACATTATGAACATTTAAAGTTTAAGAGCAGAATCTTCCACTTATTTTTTATAGAGTCTAGACCAGTAAATAAAACCAAAAAATTAATAAGACCATATCTCTTAAGAGGTCACTTTGGTTTGTATTTATAAAGAGCATATTGGAACTAAGAGTCAAGAGAAAATGTGGGTCTCTATTCTAAATAACTTTTTGTATTTAACAGAAAGTATTGAACTGTATTCCAATGATAAATAACTTTATTCAAGTAACCAAAAGCAATGGAACTCCAAATTATATTAAAGATACTAAAAAGAAACTTGACCATAGGTACATAAAACCAATGATGCCATTGTATCACAATGATAATATTTTGGAATATCATATGACCAAATGTTAAAAGTCAAGGCTTCCTAAGGATACTCACATTTAATAACACCCCAATGGGATGTCTTCCACATATAGTATTATGGTATTTCTTCAAGTAATTGCTAAAAGATACAGGGTCTAATTGTTCTATAATACTCATACCCTAAAAAAAAAAAAAAAGAAGAGGAAGAAAAAAATAAAAGAAGAAGACAATATTTATTATTTCCTAATTATATTTTAAAACTGTTACTTAAACATAATTCTTCAATTAGGGAGACACAAAGAAAACAGATTAAATAAACCTTGTGAAACATCAAACTCATTCATCAAAGCTATTACCACCATTATAGTCAACTCTCTATTAACAGAAAACTTTTAATCCCCAGTTTATTTTCTCCAAACTCCAGGTATGTTTCTATACTACTTTAACCAGTTGTCATTTAGCTCACAATCCTCAAACATTTCATAATATTATATCTTTCTTCCATAGAAAGAATACACAAAAGTAAATCTGCTGTGAAAATTTGTGTATGAAACCTAAAATTTAATTTATTTTGTGGCTGTTTTCTCCATATCCATTATATTCTGCCTCCTATTGGCATGAAAAATCAAGAGATAATTTTAATTGAACTATTTCCATAACATATACTTAAATATCAACCATGTAAGGTATTTTAAATCACCAGCATTAAATAATCTAGGTTTGTGGAAAAAAATGACACGAACTAAGAAAAAAGTTAACATATTTTAATTAATTTAAAGCTCATGATAAAGGCAGGCTTAAGCAACACAGATCTCCTTTTTTTAGATGGAGTCTTGCTCCATCACCCAGGCTGGAGTGCAGTGGTGCGATCTCAGCTCACTGCAACCCCTGCCTCCTGGGTTCAAGCAATTTTCCTGCCTCAGCCTCCTGAGTAACTGGGATTACAGACAACACACCACCACACCTAGCTAATTTTTGTATTTTTAGTAGAGACCAGGTTTCACCATGTTGGCCAGGCTGGTCTTGAACTCCTGACCTCAAGTGATCTGCCCACCTCAGCTTCCCAAAGTACTGGGATTACAGGTATGAGTCACTGCACCCGGCCTACAACACAGGTCTCTTATGAACAAGATTAATAATAAAGGAAAGCTTTTTATCTCTTTATTCTTTAAGCCAGAATGCCTTGTTTTCAACATCTTAATACATAATAAAATTTGTTAGACTATTGTTAAAACAACCACTATGACTTGAACATTAGTTTACACTAAATTCTGCAATCTCCAAATACATTCAAATAATGTATTTACAACTCATTAATATAGAGCAACTTTAACTCACCAAGTCGGGGAAATAAATTATTGATTCTAGCTAATTATACATACACCAATTATATTATTTTCTTATTCAGTTAAAACACTTTATATTAAATAAACTGGATTCATACTCTGTGGGAGAAATGCAAATGGTGGTTTAACTAGGGACTTAACTGGTTATTCTGTGTTTTTGTTTTTGTTTTTATTTCACATTTTAACAAAACAGGTATAGTGTAAAAGCACCAAGAGTAATCAGATAAACATCTGTTAAAAGTAAAAGTCATCTGGAAAATGACAGCAATCAGTGGGTAACATAGAAATTTTACAGTGGCAGCATCAAAATTTAATTCTATAAAAAAACTTTCCTTCAGAATATTCGACTCCTTCACAAACATTATCAATATTCCATATATACACACACACACACACACACATATATATATATCTGAAACATAGACATATACATGTGCAATCAACTTTGAATTGCTTGCACATCAATTAGCCACTCTCAGATTGGTCCACAATCAGTTTGTAATGCTAAGTTGGTTGTCCCCTGCCAATCACAGGACTTCCAGGTCAACACTCTCCACCGACACTTGGTATATAAGCTCAGAGAAATACAAACTTAAAAGTTAAACCTAAGATGGGCCAGGTACAGTGGCTCATGCCTATAATCCCAGCACTTTGGGAGGCCGAGGCAGGTGGGTCACCTGAGGTCAGGAGTTTGAGACCAGCCTGGCCAACATGGTGAAACCCTATTTCCACTAAAAATACAAAAATTAGCCAGTCATGGTGGCACATGCCTATAATCCCAGCTACATGGGAGGCTGAGACAGGAGAATCGCTTGAACCTGGGAAGCAGAGGTTGCAGTGACCCGAGATTGTGCCACTGCACTCCAGCCTGGGCGACAGAGCAAGACTCTGTCTCAAAACACACACACACACACACACACACACACAAAGTTAAACCTATATAAACTATATCATAATTCTGATGCCAAAAACATTACAGTACATTTCTAACCCAAGAATGGATTGTAGTAATGCAGAGATGGAGTTATAAATCTCTTCCATAAATAATGGATGATCAAGATATAACTCCCCTAGAGATAAATGAACAGAGGCACAAAACAGGCAAAAGTCCTGATTCTAAATTTCTAATTGTAGGCTCTTTCTCACTCTCTACTCTGATGTACTAAAGTATAACAAGACTCATACTAACAATTCTTTGAACACTTACATAGCTACAACTTGCATACATGTTGTAGGTGAACTTTTAATACTCCTGAATGAAGTCTATCTAGGACAGCTTACCTTATAAATCCACTCATTAATAAATAATGTGACACTGAGATTCTAATGTACATTTTAATATTAAAATCTCAAAGCACATTCAGAACAAACATCACATTTATATACTGATATGAATTTAAACAGAAGAAAACTAATCACATTTCAGAAGACCAAGAATTCAAAGTAACTGGTCAAGAAAACCTAATATAGAAAAACAGGAGATTAAATGCAGAAAAAATACTACTAAGTAAAGAGTTAAAAATGAAGATATACTGGTTAAATTACAAGACAGAAAATAAAAAATTGAGATGATGGGAGTTAAGAAATTAAATGTACAAAAATTTTAATTCTTTAAAGTGGGCTATAAACTTAGTAGTGCAAAAATTAATTCAATTATACTCAGCTGACACAAGTGATGGTTTAAGAGGTATGCCTCTTTATAAGGAAAGATGGGAAAACTAAGGCTTTTCTCATAAGTGAACCTCTCTAATTGAAAAATTCATGAAGTATGCAAACAAAAGCAATAATGATAAAATTTAGAAATGGAACATTATTAACTAATACAGGATACTGGCAAATACACTTCTAGATATACCTATGTTTTTATGTTAACAGCTATGAGATTACTATTAGGAAAATTCCAAAAAGATAGAAATGCTAGTTCAATGCTGTTGGCAAAAGTCCAAGAAGATGAAAAAGAATATCCTTCCCCAATTAGGCTGAATTAACTGTTTTATTTCTTAAAAGAGTAGAAGATATGATCAGTAAGTCTAAAGTCCAGGCAATGAGAGCTTCCTAAGGCCTAGTATAGTGAAAATTTGATTGTTCACATAAACTTAACCTAATGTGGAGGAGTGAAATGGGTCACTATACTACCCATTCAGCGCTAAGATATAAGGCAGACATTATAAACACCAAAAGCCCATCCATCAAGGATACAGGTTTCTGAGGAATTTAAGTTTCAGAAACAAATCCACAAATTGAAAGCTAACTCCCTAAATTTAGGGGGTGAGCCAGTCTATCATTGTGTTGACTCTTCAAGTAATCAGTGAATATTTGTGATGTCAAATTCCAAGTGGCAACCCCAAACTAAATAGGCAGTATTAACTGACAAAGCTCAGATTCAGGACCCTGATAAGACAACAAATTATCTTCCCTCTTTAAAAAAGTTTACCTATATTTAATAAAATGACAATCTAAAAATTATCACCCAGAAGGAAATCTCTCCCAAAAGTAACAAATGCAAAGGAGTAGCAAAACATTTTAGAGGCACTTACGAAATAAAAACCAGAATCATATCTTTTAATTCCAACCACATAATTAACACCATATTATCAAATCATTAGATTTGTGGGTTTATAGTTTAAAGGATATATATTTATATTTGCAGATAAGTATACATTTAGTGACATGGGGTAGGAAAAGGAAATATTCTAGTTTCTTTAAGAGGTATCAAGATAAAATAGTAACAGTGAAAGTTTTATGGAAAAAACTCACCTTAAAAATAGCAGTGCTAAGTAATGTACTAATAAATGGCTATCTTATAAGTGATGTTATAAAACTTACTAAAAAGCTATTGGCTTAGGTTCAAGAGAAAGAAGTATGAGGTGACGAAGGAACAATTTTCACTTTTAAAACAGTAGGAAGGAAGAAAAGTAGTTCACATTCAAATTAAGTGAAGTAACTGATAAATTTAAAAGAAAAAGAAGTTATAACAGATGAATACAATGACATTTTCAGATTATCCTTGCCGAATCATAATTTGCCAATGTCCATAATGAAACACTGGTCTACACCAAAAAAAGTAGTATAATAAAAATGATAACCTATGACCATCTCATATGAATAACTATGACTAATATTTCAAGTAAGTAAAGTTTACAAGATCAGTATCTCCAACTAGGTTCTGCTTTAGTCACAGTAATTATTGACATTGCAAAGCACTAATTACCAAAAACACTGGTCTATAGCCAATAAAATTACAAGACTTTCAGAGTTTAGATATCCTATGCTACAGTTACATAGTTTTTCCCAACTACATTCGGTAGTTTGTTCTCCTATATTTTATGTGTTTTTTCACATAATTAATTTCTAAGATATTCAAGTGCTAGAAATATAAACATTTTGCAATAAGAATAGCTATTTTTCTTTTGCAACTTAGTTTTATTTTCTAGCCTTGTAATAACTATATTTAGTAATAGTTTTCAGTTAAAAAGGACCAAAACTTAATTAACATGCTAATTTTGAACAGATGTAATCTAAAATTTTATACTTAGTTTCTTTTTACTCTATCAAACTTCCAAAATGTATATTATTGGAATTCAAAATTAACATTTTTATAATGCTTATACAGAGAACCATCCAAGTACATTTTGTCTGAAAAGATCACATATGAAAACTAAGATATTGGTTCTCAAATGATTTAAATTATTTATAATATAAAATAATCTCTTAGAAAATAAATATGCAAAAGTACATTCACCATCTGATTAATCAATTAAGACAATACAATATTTAAGTCTGCCTAACAGCAAGTGTACATATATATATACATAGGTAATATAAACACACCTAAGTTTATGTCTAGAGCTAACCATACACGGGTCTTATTATTTTGACCCATGTATTCTAACTCCCAGAATTGACTTATAAGTTGAATCAACAATATACTAATAAAATAGAACACTTATGAGCCATTTAAAAATTCTATATATAAATAAATATATCTCAACAAATGGACCACAGAAATAAACTCCAAGTCCAAATGTTAAAATCAAATATTAAATTCAAGCATATTAATATGAAGCAAATACTCAATATTTATTCAGAAATCATATTCCAGGGTATTTAAATAAAATTTTTAAAATTATGTTCCAGTAATTTGGGATATCTAAAGTAAGGTAAATCAGATGCAAACTTAGAAGTCAACCTGGGCTAAGTGGTTCTACTGTACAATTTATTCCCTTTTTTCTTTTTTGAGACAGGGTCTCAGCAAATTTCAACAAAGTACCACAAGTGAGTTCTGTTGTAATGATAAGGTTAATGATTACTATAGTAGGCAATCTCATCTCTGTCCTGGCTTTAATGATCTACTGAGACCTCCCAAACTTACATCTCTAGTCCAATTGAAAGCCTTCCTGAGTTCCAAACCAAAATAGTCAACCCATTAGCAAAGTCCTTTTGACTCTTATTTCTGAAAAGATCTGACCTCCATCCACTTCATTCTACCTCCACCAACATCACCACAGTCCAAGTTACTATCATCTCTCCCTTGAACTTCTGCCAATGGCCCATTGTTGCTACTTCCTTTATTTTTTTTCTTTTTGAGACAGAGTCTCAGCTCTGTCCCCAGAGCTGGAGTGCAGTGGTGCAATCTCGGCTCACTGTAACCTCCACCTACCAGGTTTAAGCGATTCTCCTGCCTCAGCCTCCCGAGTAGCTGGGACTACAGGCATGCACCACCATGCCCGACTAATTTTTGTATTTTTAGGAGAAAGGGGGTTTCGTCATGTTGGCTAGGCTGGTCTCAAACTCCTGACCTCAAGTGATCTGCTCGCCTCGGCCCCCCAAACTGCTGGGATTACAGGCATGAGCCACCGCCCCCAGCCCCATTGTTGCTACCTCTGACCCTCCTGTGTAATCCATTTGCCACACAACTACCACAGTGACCTTAAAAATAATTCAAATTATATCATTTCACTTCCTATTGTACTTATATAAAGTTCTTACCTTCAATTATTACCCTATATTATCAGCTCCCTGCCTCTTTTATACACACCACTCTTCTTACTCTTACACACCATACTCCCACAACACAGGCTTTTTCCTTTTCTTCTAACACACCAGCTTCTTTCCAATCTTAAGGTCTTTGCACTGGCAACTTCTCCTGTCTAAAATGCTCTTCCCGCTGATCTTTACTTGATTTGCTTTCTTATCATTCAGAACTCACTTTAATTTTCATCCTCAAGGTAGTCTTTCTCAGACCACTCAATCCAAAACAGCCTCCAATCATTTACCATCATTTACCTTTTTAGGTATTTTCTGCACACATTCCTACTTGAAACTAATTAATATATTTCCTTACCTTTTAAAATTAACACATATCTCCTCCAATTAGAAGTTTTATGACAGCAAGAACCATGTTTGCTTACTGCTGTATCTCCACCAACACCTCAGGATGTATATGTACTCAAAAATAATTGGCAAAATGAAAATCCAAATGTCTACCTAATTGACATCTCTACTTAGATGTCTTAAAGGCAACAGCAAACATAACATATCCCTAATAGAATTTATTATCTTCCTGCCCCACCCCCACCAAAAACATTTTGGTCCTTATGGCCTAAATAAATAATGCAACCATCGAACCAGCAGCATAGCCAAAAATTTAGGAGTCATCCTTGACATTTCCTTGACCCCCCAAGCTCAATCCACCTCCAAGTCCCATCATCAATTTGTCTCCTAAATGTACTGAATATATACATTTCTGTCCCTCTCTTCTACCACCATCACCCTACCCACTGTCTAAATTACCATAGTTTCTCATCTGGACTACCTAACTGGTCTACACGTTATCTCTTCCAGCCTCCTTCCAACCCATTTGCTACACTGCAGCCATATGATCTATTCAAATACAAAACCAACTTTATCACTTCCCTATGTAAGATCCTTCAAGATAGCTGTTCTGGAGTCTTCAAGTTTCACTTCTCACCACCCTCCCCATCCATTTATCCAGCACTCATTCAACAACTGTATATATTGTGTGCCCACTGACAGGCACTAGGATGGGAAATGGACAAAGTCCCTGTTCTCATGAAGCTTACGTAATCCAGTGAGGGAGATAACCCCAAGACAAATCAACAAATGAGTAAGTCATGCAGTAATAAATACCTAGAATAAAAATACAGCAGGGTAAGGCCAATGAACAGCTGTTCATCCAAGGAGGCTAATGGAAAATGATGCACGCTTTTTGGCTGTCACAATAATTTGAAGATGCTATTGGGACTCAGTGGGATTCCAGGGATGCTGACACAAGACAGTTTCATACACAAAGACTGTTCTCCATCCATAAGACTACAGAATATCTACAGCCTTAATTATCTATACATTAATTCCACTTCATATACAAACAGAAATAAGTTTTGCATTGATTTTAATATACAATGAGTTTCCCAGGAATAAAACTATCATGTAAAGTGAGGGAAGACTGTACTGGTTTTGTTTACAAGTTTACTAAGAATTGTTCACCATTTTGGAAAATCAAGTCACTAGCAATGGCACTTAGTAATTTCAGTCACTAATACATACGTGTGTAAGTGTGTATTTGAAGCTGTTTTTACATTAATAATACTATTCATAAATATTTAAATACTTCATTGTACCTTCTAATTTAGTTGTGACTGGGCATTTACATTCTTAAATATATATTTATTATAAATTCCTTTTATTTCCTTTACATGTTACAGTTAGGAAAGTCATGGTTTTAAACTGCGTACAGGAAGATTATATCCATTAATTTATTCATTTGAAAAATATGTATTGACCACCTACTTATATTCTAATCACTATTCTAGGCACTTTGTATACATCGGAGAACAAAACAAATATCCTGATTGACAGAAATGTAATTAAGTATTTAGTTTTTTAGAAGAAAAAGTGGAACAGGGTACGGTGGACTGGGAATGCTGCAAGGGTAGGATGTAGGATGCAAAATTAAATAGAGTAGTCAGAAGGCCCCAGTGAGAAGGTGAGAGCTAAGCAAAACGGGCAAACGCCCTAAGCTAGGCAGATACATGACATTATCAAGGCACAGTAAGGAGATTAGTGTGTCCACGGTAGAGTGAAGGAAGAGTAAAAGTAAGAAAATGGAGGGCTCTTAACATTTGGGGGCTGCAAATCATGTTGGTCCTTTTTGTCTACCCACTGTAAAGACACTGGCTTTTATTCTGACTGAAAGGGGGCAATTTTACAGGAGATATGGGGCAGAAGAGTAACATGATCTGATTTAGATTTTAAAATAATTGCTTTGGTTCCTACTTTAAGCCACCTGAGACTGAAGAATACCAGGGTAGGTCTAAGAAGACCAGTTAGGAAAGTGGAAGGATAGGACCACCATCATTTGAATTAAGAAAGCCTATGAGTAGAACAGGTCTTGGTGGGAAGAAAATCAGGAATTCCGTTTGGAATATGTTTAGTATGAGCTGTTTATAAGACATCCAAGTGGAAATTATGTACGGTGTTTGAGCACGTGCTTCTGGCAGGAGTTCTTTTATATTTTTGGTGCAAAAAGCATTACTTTCATAAAATTTAGTACAAACTTGCTAAAGACCATGTCCAGGAAGACTTTATTTACTTTGAAAATTTTTAGTACTGAGGTATCTTTCAAAATTATTTTCTGTATGGTTACCTAACCAAAAAAAGACAATTTTAATGACGGGAAAATTTACATGCATACCATTAATAATTTATATTTCACATATATGCAGCCATTCCTCCTTAGAGATTCTTTCCTAAATGAATAAAATGTAACACAAGAAAGGTTAAACCGAGGAGAAACGAGAATCATATAGCTGATATAATCTTAAGTCAAATCTCTCCAATACCTCAAATTAGGGATTAATGTTACTGGAAATTCTGAAGTAATCTCATAGTTTCCATCTTTAAAAACTCCTCCTGTGACTGTGTTTCCCTGGATCTCGTCATCTACCAAATCAGTTAACATTTAAACATTGCTCCTTTCTGTCATACTCAAACTAGTAGAGAATAATTTTTCACATTTGGTTTTTGCCTCTTCATTCCAATTTAGATTCTAAGCTGATTCCACTGAAACTGCTCTTGCAAGGTTCTTAATTCACCTCTGTGCAGCATTTGATACTCTTCCTCCCTCTTTGCTAAATAAAGCTCATCCTCTCTGTGATATTGCTCATTCTCAGTTCTCTCTAAGCAGAACTCTACTGGCTCTGCTTTATCTCCTCTTCCACTTAATGCTGGTATGTCCATCTGATCTAACTCCCCCTTTGTTCCTACTCCTTATACTCTCTCTGGAGATTGACTCTCTAAACAATGGCATTAACATCCTTTCTTCCCATCCACTCCTCATACACCAATAATTTCAAAATGTTTATCTCCATCCAGACCTACCTTCATGTTCTAAACCAGTACTGTCCAATAAAAATATAATGCAGGCCATATATGTAATTTTAAAATTTATTATAGCCATATTTAAAAAATAAACAGGTAAAATTAATTTTAAGATATTTTATTAAACACAATCTGGCAGTATCATTTTATAATATAATCAAGATAGATTTCTGAGATATTTTTGTTCTTTTCATACTACATGTTCAAAATCCAGTGTATATTTTACACTTACAGTATATTTCAAGTTGTATAACCACACTTCAAATACTCAATAAATACATGTGACTGGTGGCTACAGTATCAAAAAGTGCAGTTCTAAACATAACACAAAACCCATGTATAAGACTGAACTCATCTTTTTCCTTAAATCTGTCCCTCTTATATTCCCTGTATTAGTGAGTATCAGCATCTATGTACACAAGGAAGCCAGAAATCATCCCACATCCCACCACTCCCTTAACATGACACACCTAATTAATCCCTAAAGTCCTTTTCATTCTACCTCCTAAATGTCTCTCAGCTCTCTATATTGTAATGGCTTCTTTGTAAGTATGTTCAACCACTGGACTCCATTAAGTCACGGACTATGTTTTCTCTTCTTTATGTCCTCAATACTGCACAGAGTACCGGACATATAGCAGATACCCATTAACCATTTGCTTTGACAATCATTAATCATTTGCTATATGGAAAAAGCCAGAAAAAGTTTTCTGAGGCAACTGAGAACTAAACCTCAGAATAAAAAGACTAGAAGTCAAAGGAGAGTTAAACAACTGAAATGAAAACATCAGGAAGCCAAAAAGAAGGTAATACATTAAAATCCAAATAAAATTCTAAAGGTAAAAGTATTGGACAATAATTGGATTTAAAGTAGCAACTAAGGTAAGTTTAAACATGATAAACACACTAAGTAACCAACTTTACATTCATTACATTTGGCTTTAATAAAATATACTACATGATATATTCTATTTATACATTCAAATCCAGATTCCTTACTAAAATATTTGATCTACTTTAAACCAAATAATCTTGTACTAAAACATATGCATAAGGCTTAACACATTGGTAGAGCTGATTTGAACAAACTGAAGACTTACAAGCTGACAGAATTTAAAGACAATTTAGAGACCATTTAGTCCAAGTCTATCTTCTTCCAGATAAGGAAATGAAAACTAGAGTATTAAAATAATCTGTCAGTGGTCATAGAGAGCAAGTTAGAGCTGTTCTGCTATATTTAATACTATTTATGAGTAAATCCTAAAATTATTTGTGTTATTTAAAAAATTAAAATAAGTATCATCAGCTTAGACAACATGGCGAAACCCCATCTCTAAAAAATAAAAATAAAAATAATTAGCCGGGCGTGGTGGTAAATGTCTATAGTCCCAGCTACTTGGGTGGCTGAAGTGGGAGGACTGTTTAAGCCCAGCAGGCTGAGGCTGCAGTGAACTGTGATTGTGCCACTGCACTCCAGCCTGGGTGACAGAGGGAGACACTGTCTCACAAAAAAATAAAAAAAGAAAGAAAAGAAGGAAAAGAAAAAATATTATGACTACCATGGCACTTCAAGAAAAAAAGACAGTAGGATCAACATCTACTGTACTCCTTAGCTAGGTAAGAATATAATTATATTTAAAAATTCTGTGTTTAGAACAACGAATTGAAATTCCTTTTAAGAAAAATCCAGGCCAGGTGCAGTGGCTCATGCCTGTAACCTCATCACTTTGGGAGGCCAAGGAGGGTGGATCACTTGATCTCAGGAGTTCCAGACCAGTCTGGGCAACATGGCGAAACCTCGTCTCTACAAAAAACTACAAAAAAAAATTAGCCAGGTGTGGTGGTATGCATCTGTGCTCCCGGCCACTCAGGAGACTGAGGTAGGAGGACTGCCTGAGCCTGGGAGGTTGAGGCAGCAGTGAGCCATGATGGTGCTACTACACTCCAGCCTAGGTGATAGAGTGAGAGCCTGTCTTTAAAAAAAAAAAAAAAAAAAAAAAACAGAAAAAGGAAAAAAAGAAAAATCCAAATGGCCCAAAAACAAGACAATACACTAAGAATTTGTAAAAAGAGCAAAAGGACAAATGAAGAGAAAAAAACAAATTATTTGCATCTGTAAAAATAATTTTGTTTTCTTATGCTTTTTTTATAGCTCTTTTTAATAGATACCTGAAGGCTCCAGGCCATAAAGTTCAAGTCTTAATATGTGCCAAGTGCGGCAGCTCACACCTGTAATCCCAGCACTCTGGGAGGCAGGAGGGTTGCTTGAAGCCAAGTGTTCAAAACTAGCCTGGGCAATAAAGCAAGACCTTGTCTCTACAAAAAAAGAAAAGAAAAGAAAAAAGCTGGGTGCGGTGTCACATGCCTGTAATCCCAGGACTTTTGAGAGGCTGAGGCTGGCAGATCACTTCTGCTCAGGAGTCTGAGACCAGCCTGGGCAACATGGTGAAACCCTGTCTTTACAAAAAATACAAAAATTAGATGGGCTTGGTGGTAGGCGCCTGTGTCCCAGCTACTCAGGAGGCTGAGGTGGGAGAATCGCTTGAGCCCGGGAAGTAGAGGCTACAGTAAGCCAAGATCACACCACTGCACGCCAGCCTGGGCCACAGAGTGAGACCTTCTCTCTAAATAAATAAATAAATAAATAAATATTAGTTGGGTATGGTGGCATGTGCCTATAGTCCCAGCTACTCAGGAGGCTAAGGCAGGAGATTGCTTAAGCCCAGGAATTCCAGGTTGCAGGGAGCTATGATGTGCCACTGCACTCCAGCCTCAGTAACGGAATGAGTCCCTGTCTCTTAAAAAAAGGAAAAAAGAAATATCTTAATATGCATGCTTAAGATCAATGGGAAATGCAAATCAAAACAAAAATGAAATTAGATATATAACAATCTGATTTACAGGATATTTTACAGAAATATATCAATGATGTGAGTTTATTATGTTTAAAATATTAATTCCACTGAATTTTAGATTTTGAGAGCTTCTAAAAATTTGAAGGAAAAAAAAAGTAGTTCCAAAATAAATATGCCTCTGTCAGGTCAAACTGCTGGTCCAAGGAAATAATAAAAATAAATTAACAAAACAAAACAAACATGCCTGAAATTTTAAATTTTAAAATAAAGTATATGTATAAATCCCTTCAGCATAGCAGACAAGATTCAAGTTAGCTACATTTTGTGTATATTGGAATTCCTGCACACTGTCATCATAAGGCTATGATGTCTTTTATTTCCAGAGGTAAAGGGGCAATAATTTAAAAAATAAAGACTTTCAGTCTAAAATTTTCAGGTTATTTACTTCAAGTTTACATATAATTCCTCCAACAGAATACAGATTTTTATTAGCTAATTCATAAAATCTTCATCATCACTTAAGAACAGTAATTTGGTCTGCTATCAAAACTAAAAATATACTAAGTTATTTAATAAATTTTAAAAAACAACAATGCTGTTCAGAAGGAGTCAAAAGAAGGACTCAAAAAAAAATATTTCAGGTAGTCGTGAAACAAACAGGAATTAGAGTCAAGGTATCCCATCATCTGCTATGGTTATTACTGCTTAACAGTAAATAATGGTATTAGTATCTTACTGTTCCTAAAGCTAAAGTACTTCTCTAGAAAGTATTTTAAATCCGTATATATTATTCTTAAATATTCTCATTAATCAAACAAAATTATGATGACGGAAATTCCTACTAGAATAGGGATTATTCTTATAGTCAGTATTTATATGATGACACATTGCATTTTGTACATTTAAAGATAGGGAAAAAATATATTATTTCAACATGTTAAGTCTTGAATTACTAATCTGAAATTAAAGAAAAAGCCTTAGAGCATTAAAATCCCACACCTGAAAGACTTACCATTTTATCTAGATGTTCAATGGATCTATAAATCTCCCCCTGGGATTCATCATAGTAACTGTAACGGAACCTTTGACCTTGAAACAAATATCATGTACAAAATAAAATAGGGAAAAATTAGAAGCTAAAAAGAAAGCAAGCGCTTACCAAATAATTTCAGTTCTCATGAAAGGCAAAGCACAGCTTAAGCCTCTGAGAGAATCATTCCCAAGAGCCCTTGTACATAAAAATAAAAGGCACATTTGGGAAGGTAATAAAGAAATGATATCACCAATGTTTTATGATGTTAAGAACTGTTTCAAATTGTAGAAACCTTAAAATCACCAGAAATACAAGATTAAGGAAACAAAATAGCTTAAAAGTTAGAAGCATTGTTAAACATTTTATCAGTCTATATTGGAAAGTAAACCCAAAGAATATTACTTAAGAATATTTGGTTTAAGAAAACTATCTTGGTATAACAAATCACTAAAAGCCTTAGCTTTTGCTGTACAAAGTTTTGATCTCTATTACGGGGGAAAAAAAAAAAAACCATGAGGTCGCAAATACTGTGACTTGTGTGACTTTTATGAAGTAAATTTTTTAAAAATTATCTCATTTTTGCACAACTTGGAAAAGGATCAATACAAGTGCCTTATGCAACGTGAACAGAATACACAAAAGGGTAAATATAATATAAATATAATAAATATTCCTACCCTGACATAAAATCTCAATAAGATTATAAGCATAGAACATTCAATGTTTTGGCTATTCTCCAAAGAATAGAGAAGGTAAAATGAAAGAAGCTTAAAGAGAAAACAGAAAACAAAAGTCTCAGAAAATAAATTCTGTTTCCTACTAGTTACATGAAAATCAAGTTAAAAATTTTCTTAACTAATTATGGGGAGTATTACTCAACTGACTGCAACGTATTTCAGATACACCTAAATCTTTTAGCAGTGCCTTTTTTCTAAGAACTCATTACTTTTGTATTTCCTTAATGTTAAAGATTGACCAAAATGCATTTCTAAAGGAATTAGACCATACAAATCATGTACACACATCATGTGTCTTGTGCTTCACGTTCAGAGCAATGTTGATATATCCAGTTACCACCCTCACACCTGAAGACATGGAACTCTTCGGCTAGATAATTAAGATTTTTAAGTTTTCTGTTCATCTTACTAAAAAAATTATGTAAATGATGGGCAGTGCAAAATTATAAAACCCTCTTTGATGTCCTTTTCTGAAAAACCACACATCATAGAACTGAAACACTTCATTCATTTGTTGATACTGATCACCTTTGATGGTCACCTTTCTAAAATATGTCATATTTCCTTAATGTTCACATTTTAACTTTTCGTATACAGTAACATAATTACTCAATGTAGCAGTCCTTATTCTCTCCCAAGAGCCATTATTCACTCAATATTGCATCTTATAACTTAACTGATGATATCCTAGAATTGGGCAACAGGGACTGAAACAATATCTGCTTCCTGAATAAAACAATAAAGATTACTGCATGTTACCTTAGCTATGAGATCAACTATAGTCTTTGAACTAAAAAAAAAATTCTTAAAACAATGATAATTTATTGTTCAATGCCTCTATATTGATAATTCATTAAACATTTCTTTTAAAATTTAGAGTAAGGTATAGCTTTATTTTTCTGTAAAGAATGTATATATTAATACTTCATACATAACAATGAGAATTATCTAATAACTATATAATTGACACTATTTTTCTTTTTTTCTTTTTTTTAAGATGGAGTCTCACCCTGTTGCCCAGGCTAGAGTGCAGTGGTGCAATCTCAGCTCACTGCAACCTCTGCCTCCCGGGTTCAAGTGATTCTCCTGCCTCAACCTCCCGAGTAGCTGGGACTACAGGCATGTGCCACCACATCCAGCTACTTTTTGTATCTTTAGTAAAGATGGGGTTTCACCATGTTGGCCAGGCTGGTCTCAAACTCCTGACCTAAAGTGATCCACCTGCCTTGGCCTCCCAAAGTGCTGGGATTACAGGCGTGAGCCACCACACCCAGCCTGACACTATTTTTCTCATTGCCAGGTGGCTGTGAGAAGGCTGCTCAGTGCCAAATCTAAAGTGCAGTTATAATAATTTATCGATTCAATTCATTTGATACTAAATTTTTACTTCTATTTCAAAGTTATTTTGACAAAGCTGTCCAAAATCTTTCTGAAACAAATGAACACCTTAGACAAGAATATTCTGACTCACTCTCACTATAAGAACAATATTCTTGGAGGAAATCAAGGTAGTATACACCTCAATTCTTTGAACCTGAACTGCTTTAGGTTTACACTAATACATTCTCTTTTCCCTGCTTCTGGAAATAGCTGTTAGTTTTGGCTACTATCAGTAAGCCCTGAAACTGGGACATAATCTACTGCTACTCCCAGGTTCAGAGAAAAACGCATATACTACATGATAGTCGTTTGCTACTCAAAAGTCTTTTCTGCTTAATTCCAAGTAAAGAGTTGCTGTTCCAAATGGCTGAAGTTGGTCAACCCAGACTTAACAGTAAGTGAAAAGTCTATACTTTAAATTGCTATCTTGTTCATATGGACCATTTTCTATGTAACTTTCACTTTTTAAAAACTGCTTCTGAAGGAAAAAAAGAGGAAATGTTTGAAATACTTTAAAATACTGGATCGGCATGGGATTTAATGAGAATGCAAAAATGCACAGAGAGCCAATGGCAGTAAATGCCATCTACTTTTTGTTACTCTTTAGTAGCCACCTCATATTTAGTAACTGAAAAACTGACTATAAATATTTGAAGGACTCTAAAGAATGTTTCGATTAAGTAGCTAAATCCACACTACATATAGCTACTACACTGAATAAATATTTTAGTTGCAACAGCTCAAATCGTCTCATGGTAATTTTTAAAAATTATACAAATATTTAAAAATCACTTGAGCAATGTATTCTGGTCAATATACATACAGAAGGCATCTAATTTGAAGTAAATAGTTGTCATCATCATAGCCTATATGTATGTGTGTATTTACGTATGTCTGCATACACACACACAACTTTAGTCAATCATCATTTAGAAACTGAGTTTAAAATACCACTTTTTGGTTTTTATTATTTTAAAAGTGTCTCAAAATTTTATTTAATAATAAAGAAAATTATAGCACAAGTACAATAAACTGATCATAAATACACCTTTAACTAAAAATGTATTATTGACTTAAAATAAATTATATGTATCTCAAGAGCAAATATATTTTATTTTTATAAGTTTTTGTGTTTCTGACATTCAGTAAAGGTTATGAATCTAAACTATAAACAAATACAATTGCCCATGTACCTGGAGAACTGGACTTTTGTACTTTTTAAGTATGAATAAAGCGTATCACATAGTAAGAGAAAATTACTTACCTGAAACTTATCCTTTCAGAAGGTACACTGGGAAAATGGATTCTTTGAGCCCCTGTTTCAACTCCAAGTATGAGCTTTCTAGCTTTAAGAGCCATTGACACTGCCCCTAGGGGCAGCACAAGCTTTGGAACTCCCCTAGTGAGTATGTCAGTAGTTTCTTCAGGTGCCTTCCCTCAGTTCTTTTCAAATTCAAAAGATGAGAGGAAAAATAACCCAAGAAAAAAATCCTGTAAAGCAGAAACCTTACTCTTTGAGGGAAGGAGGGTAGCTCATTTGTGAATCCATTCCAGAGCACGCTTTCTGAGAAAAAGAAATACAGGTAAGTAATTTTCCCATCTCCAAAGGTGACTGGTGATTAATGAGTGGATTCACAGAGTGTGGAGAATAAGCTCCAGGGATGTCTGTTTAACACACAACAATCAACTAATGAGGACAAACATAACAATGAATGGTACAAGAACCAATGCTACTTTTTAAGTACCTTAAAACAAAAGGTAAAAGAACAGTAAATACCTCAACATTAAGCTATGCACTGAACTGCAAAAATAAATAATGACCTTGGAAAGTTGATCTATAAAGCCCCCAAAAGATCAGTCAATAAGATAGATTTTCAGATACATAAAATAAAAATTATACTGTCACACATTTACTTAATCACATCGTTTATATGCTAAGCCACTTTCAAATATTTAAGTTAAACCTCACAACAACCTTGTGAGATAAATTATTAGGCCATTCTATACTAAGGACCCAACCTGGGGACATTCATAATTGAAATCACTACCAAAGAAAAAATGTATTTCATAAAGGAAATATTATGTAAGTAGCATCAAATAAGGTAATCTCTTTTAAAAGCTAAATACGATCATGCTTTCAATCTGAAGTGCTAATGTATAAGTATTAGCCTTATCTCAAATCTGCAAAAAGTCAAAAACTAAATATGTAAAATCTGCATGTACAAATATTTGAGAAGACAAATATGATGGCTTGGTTAAGGTACATTTTAAGAATTAGCTAACTTACACTCAAACCTATTTAACTATTTAGAAAATAGCAACAGCCTTATACCCAAGAGACTGACAGAAAGGAAGAGTATGCATGAATAATCACATTAATATACAGTAAAGAAGAAATCTGAATGTTATCAATTTCATAAATATTTAGGGGAATGCCACTTTTAATAAGTGGTATGTATTTATAAAAAGGTAGTTATGTAAACCAAAACAAATATAAATGTATGCATAAAAATTCAAAATTGCTGAAAAGACTACAGTAAACTTCTCATATTTAAAAAAATATATGTCATAAATATTCACCAAGTAAACTTATCTAAACTGATTTGTAAAACCACCATAAAAGGCAAATCAAATAAAGCATGAAGTCCACTTTTACTTTTTGTTTATTTTTTGTTAGAGATGAGGTCTCACTTGTTCTCCAGGCTAGATTCAAGTAATCCTCCTGCCTCAGCCTCCCACATAGCTAGGACTATAGGCACAAACTACCATACCCGGTTCATAACTCCACTTTTGAAAAATATATTTTCACTAAATCCAATTTCATTTAGAAACTTCTTAGAAGTGAAAATTACGTTAATGAAAGCTGCCAACAATCTAAATTTAGAAATATAAATTTCAGGAAGGTCAGGAAAACACAAATATCAATCACATATATGAAGAAGGCCAAAACTGAAACTTGAGAAAACAGAATGAAAATTCTACTAACTGAAAAAATTAAAATAGGTCCAGACAAAATTCTCTCATACGGAGCCATCCTATAGGATATAGAACTTAATAAGCACAAAAAGTATTGGAACAATTTATTTAACCATGGTAAAGCACACAGACTAGTGGCAAATGTCTTTTCACTTAATCTACTTCCTGCTAGTAACAGAAAGGATGAAATGAGGTGAAACTATTTTAAGTGTTGCCTGAGAAATATAATCTGGCATTTCTATATGTACAAGACTGGTGATGCAATAAAAGGCAGGAACTGAAATGCAGGGTTTCTTTTTGGGGAACTCAAATGAGGGGATTGAAAGAAGGGGGATAATGGAATCTAGGTTCCTGTCTCTCCCTTGGCTTAACTCAACTAGAAAGAAAACTTGAGAGTACTTCAGTACGTCTACCTTTATTTCTCTAATGTCTCTTTTCAAGTCTAAATAAAAGCTACAAGGCATCTGAAAGATGAACATCTTTAAAGTAAAATAAATTTAAGAAAATAAATCATGTTTATAAAGAACACTGGCTAACAAATAAGGTCAACAAGAAAAATCTTTCCAATTTACAGATAAAAATCTGGAATATCTCTATCACCAAGGTTTTCACTTCACTTTCTGCAAAAGGTAGGCACAATATAGAGAGAACCAATGACTAGAAATGAACAGTGTAGTCACTGCCAGTAATCTAATAATCAAAACAAAGAAACTTCCACTGTGTGTAGCTGAGTAATTTTTCAAGTGTACTGCAATAATTTTTTTCCCCAAAAAATTCAGGTATTTATAGTGTGTTAAGAGGAAACTCAATGAACCATTTAAGACCTCTGCATGCATGAGGAACTGAATCCCTCCTGTGAAATTTAGAAGTCAGTGTTATGATTGCTTCTATATAATAAAAATCAAGCTGTATAGTATCTCTTTAAAAAGAAAGAAAAACCATTAAGTATTATCTTCATGAGAAAAAGCTGAATTTTTGAGATGATAATATGGCACACTTACTAATTTAGGAAAGATACCCATCGCCACTACAATATGAATGTGAGAAACATGAAACTTAATTCTTTAGATAGCTTAACCCATAACTGGTCAATAATTCATAATACTTTAGTCAGCATGCAAAAGAGAAAATGTATCTCACTTTACAAGAATTACTGTGGTAGTGAAAAGACTATCAATTTTGGAATATTATCTATGTTACACCTTTCACTTATCCCCAGAACCCCAACATATTTCTCAATAAGTAGTAGCACGGTGCTTTCCATAAGTACAAAGAAAACATTTAATGAGTATTATTAATGATGATGATACTAAAAAATGAACACTTGAAAAGTTCTACTACTTAAACACCAAACATAAATCTAAAAAATGTTTTAGTCTCTGGATAATTCTTATAACTATTATTTATGAGTCTTTAAAATTTTTGAGCTCTTTTTTGTAACTATCACCTGGAAATCCTATCTTACAATTTAGATACCAAAATTTCCAAGAAATCAGGAGACAAAACAACCTCAATAATTTTCTAAGAATCTAGGTAGAAGGTAAAACAAATTTATGTTTCTCTCTCAGCCACTGTAGTTACATATAGCAGTGGACTAGGCTTTGGTTACTTTAGAATTCTTTATTAATGAGGTAAAAAGGATGATTCCACAGAAAAGAGCAATATTGAAATGTTTACTGACGTTTTATGTGAATTTATGTTACAGTTGCACAGGTTGCCAACCTAGAGAGAAAGCCCAGGTTCTAAAAAATAATATCAAGGGAACTAATTATGTAAATCAAGTGATTAATAAGAGCCTTAAAAATGAAGGAGGTGTGGGACACTTGCTTCAAGAATTTTAATTTTCAAAACATACAGACATGCTTTGTTACCAACACAAATTCACAATATTAAGGAAAATATGCTGTTTTGCAGTAATGATACTTAAGTTTTCAAGGTCACTTATTACATTTCAAAATTCCACAGAAAGGCACTCCTTTTAAGCATCTACCTAGCCTTCAGATCTAAGTAGTATACTTATATCCATAAAATGTAACTTCTGCCAAAGGTAGCAAACCAGCTAACCAATAAAATCAGTAATTAAAGAACCCTGAATATTAAAAACAGATTTAAAAAAAGAAGAAGAACCCTGAGAGCTTCTCTGGGGGGTTGGAAAGGAAGTGCAACTACCTGCATATCCTAAAAATCTGGGTTTCCCAACCTCAGCACTGCTGACATTTTGGGCCTGGTAATTCTCTGATGTGGGAGCCATCCTGTGCCACTGCAGGATGTTTATTTAGCAGCTACCCTGGACTCTACTCATTAGATACCATTAGTATTGCCACCCTCCAAACCATATCCCAGTTGTGGTGATCAAAACTGTCTTCAGGAATTATCAAATGCCCCTGAGAGTAAAATCACTCCAGTTGAGGCTAAGTACCTTATGCAAAAAACTAATCTGTACCATTACAAAAGATAGTTCTCTTGAACTGAGATCTCAACTTTGAAAAGGCCATTCAGAGATAGAAGCAAGAGAAGACACCAGCCCAAGCAGGCCAGATAAATGTTGAATCAATTCTGGCAATCAGTGGGTAAGACACATAAAATGCCATGGCTCCCTATATTTCACTAAGGATGTTCTCCTGGCTATTCTAGCGTTGTATCTTAAAAATTATGGTCTTACATTTTAGGTTTCCTTATAATCAAAGAAATAAGTGATAAATGAACAGATATTGGCATCTTAAACCAATAAATTAATAGGTCAAAGAGATGTCCTAAAACGAACAAAACTTAGAAATATTCTGGGACAGTAATGGATAAAGGAAAGCAAACTGCATCCAAAGACTGTAGAAGCAACGTTTACTAAAAGAGGCATCCACAAACAGCTCACTTCTCTTACAACGTACTCACTGTGACGTGTCCTTGCTCTTACAATAATCAAAAAATCACTCAAGAGTCCTTACCCTTATAAAAACATTACCAATGATGACCACAGTGCTTAATAGCCAATATTTTATAATCTTTGGAGGGTAGCTTTAAACTGATGGCAATTGTGAGTAAAAACTAAGCACCAAAGGGGAAAAAAAAAAAAGACTAATTACAAAAAAGGAAATGTGGAAAAGGACTGGCACAGCACACAGTGCTCTTCTATACTCTAAAGAACATTGGATTTATCCACCAAAACTAACTTCAGAGAATCTACCATACACACCTACTTGGAAATGAGGTTAAAAGATCTTAACTCCCACTAAATAAGTGTCTAAACAAGGATGCCTTCACAGTGTGAATCCAATTATACCAGTCGCCTTTGGAAATGTACCCATAATCCACTATTGTAATCTGATCCTTTTTAAAGGATCAAAAGATTTTTTATTCACTTTTAAACACTGCTGCCAGAAGTAAAACTTTCCAAGGAAAGTGATAAAAAACTGAAAATCAGAGCTTAGAATGAAAAGATACCTTTAACCAGAAGTATATAACATCTACCATGATATGTTAAAATCTAGAACTTACCCCAATGGCAGAAATCAGAAGAAACCACAAAGAGATTACTAGGATCCGCTAGATATTTACTGAAGAGTTTTCCGAATTCCTGTTCTTTTGACTCACTCAGAGCTCCAACCAGTACAGGAATAATGGTAAACTCATCCTTATGGCTTAAAGAAAACAGAAAAAAAAAAAATGTCATTTAAGATGCTTAAATGAAAGTTTTCCAAATGTGTTGGCATTAGAAAGTGGAATATGTATTAATAGTGGTAAGGATAACATATGTAATTATTATTGATGAATTCTTAAAATCCATAAATTAAATGTTTAAAGGGTACAAGGGTACGATTAAAAATATGAGTCATACAGAATACTAAAAATATCCATTTAAACTACAGAAATATATACTACCTCTTTAGGTAAAAAAAGCTATTTTACTACCAGGTATAATAACATCTCAAAAAATAAAAACAAGCCCATCAGAAGAGCACCAATTCAATTCTTTTCAAGTACTTATCAAGGCTACAGTCATCTGCCAAATCCTTCTGTGATTATAAAAGACCATTAAACTCTTCCTCACCTATTTTAATCCTATCCTATTATAAAAACCATCATTTCTGGCACTTGCTCTATAAACCTGCCAAGTGAGACCTAAAAACTTAATCTTGGCTCCCGTAAGTTTTATCAACTGCACTTTTACACTTATCCTAATGATCAGATACAAGACAGTCTGAAATACAACTCAAATTTCATTGGCATCTAGAATAGACAAAGAATTAAAGGAAGTAAGTTTTAATTTCTAGCAGCAGAAAAAGACACCACACCCACCCACAATGTTTATGGCATATCCACAAGTCCCTTTTTCACTCTACAGATTGACAGATTTATGGAAAAGAAACAAAGTAGATTAATAAAGAATAACTATGATGAGCTATAGAAACAGATGTTCATTCAAAACCTTTTTTAAAAATGTTATTGTGAAATTTTACTTATATATATTCAATATTATTTATATTCTAAATGATCCCAGATTTGGTATTTTAGAAGCATGAATCATGTTTGTCTGATTTGTTCTCAACAGGACCTTTTTAAAAAAATCACCATTATAATAAATGCTTTTTAATATGATAATCTGGCACTTAACTGATGTAGGACAAACAAAATTCACAAAAGTTTTTAAAAATACTAAGTTTAAATAATCCCCAAATAAATGTTAGCCCAGCTGCATAAAGCTAAATTTAGGGCACCCAAGCACCTCCCCCATAAGGCCCCCTTACCCTGTCAATTGCGAAATAAACAGATCATACAGATCTCCAGTCCCTCTGCAATGCAGGGGCTTCTTGGGCAGAATCTGCATCTATGGAGTAAGAGAAAAAAAGGAAGCTGGCAGAGGAAGCTGCCACAGGATCTCTTTCTCTAACTGTTACCAGTTTGCTAAATAACTCCCTGACTGAATAGGGGCTCTTCAATTAGTTAAGACTGATTGTCAATTGAAAGAAAAGAATTAATTATTCTAACCTCAACTACTACCTACATAAAAAAATACATTAAGATAATCAAAGTGTCTGTGAGTAATTATGATATGATTGGGAAACAGTTATACAGAGTATAAAGAACAAGGAGAAACCAGAAGAAATGGGTTCAAGTGCCATCCCCACCACATACAAATGTTCAGAGCATAGGTAAGTTCCCGAATTGTAAATATATTTCCGTATCTGTAAAATGATCATAATTACAATACTTACTTCATAAAATTGTTATGAAGTGAAGAACACTATAGGAAAGGTACTTCGTCACAAGAGTTGGCTCACTCTGAATAAACAACACATGTCTACTCTCCACAAGAGCCATTAATCCCTTCAATTAACCTCAGTTTGAGCTTACAAATCTATCTGTAAGGAGGTATAAAATTCTATCCTCTGTAGAAACCTAGGACTTGAATCGAGGCTCATTTATCCACCCCTCTGTCATCTCTCTTTTAAAAAATTACTTGTTCTCTATCTCCACAGACAAATACTCATGAATTAGAGAAAAGAGCATTTAGCTTTGAAATGTAATACTACTAGGATTTAAAATCCAAGTTCTGAAGTTGAACTTCCAGTGAAGGAATACAAAATCTCACCCCCAAAAAGCAATTATAAAACTAGATAAAAGCGTCAAAAACAACCATCTTTGTGTTATGGAAATCAACTAAAGGCAAAAACAAACAAGCAAACAAACAAAAACAATGAGAAGAGCATGTTCATGAAAAACTACAGAACTTCTTGGTAACAACAATGGAAACCTGGCATCTTACCAGGAGCTGCCTCCATCCCCTACCCTAGCTCCACTGAGGTATAAGTTCCATCAAGGAACAGCACCTTCATTGCAAAAAGGGGATGACTTTGACTTGGAGCAGAGAGTGGAAAACCCACACTCAGTAGGAAACAGAAAAGCCTGCAGATTTCTTAGTCCGAGATTGCTGTTGTTGGGGTGAGCCAGAAACCTGAGGACTAACTAGAAATTTAATAGACAGATCCTAGAAATGGCACAGCCATAGAGAGACTTGATAAATTTTCCACACATCCTGAAGAGAGACCTATGCCCTCCACACAACACTGGCTGACTAGGAGGCTGCACGCATGTACAGGGGACTCCCATAAGGTCCTAAGCTCCACACAAAACGCAGGCTGAGAGACTGGCAGCGTATGCACAGGGGAAGCTGGAAACCTGAGAGACCTAGCTCTCCACACACGCCTGGCTAACAGAAAATTTGGGTACGTGCACAGGGTCTTAGGTCTAAGACAACATAATAAAAAGTAAAAGAAACAAACATGAAAACAGACTATACTTAGTTGATTCTTTCTTTTAATGAGAAATGGGGTCTCACTATGCTGCCCAGGCTAGCTTCAAACTCTGAGCCCAAGTGATCCTCCCTTCACAGCCTCCATACAATCTCCCAGCAGAGGGTGAAAGTCTTTCTGGCTCAAGGTGTTTAGGTACAGCCTTCAACCAATAATTAGCTAAGCACTAAATTAAGGAATTGCAGGTGGGAACCCTACAAAGCCAAGCTTAAAATTAAAAATTAAGAAGTTTTAAAAGCTGGGGAGACACATAAGTGACCACACATAGTGGGAGAGACAGATTCTGCAGTTGAAGTTCATGAAAGTTCCTAATAAATAAATAAATACAACCTGCAAGGGAAAAAATGAGTAAAAACCGAATCCAAAGTTACTATAACATACTACACAAAATGTCCAGTTCCAAAAGAAATTATAAGTCATGCAAAGAAACAGCAAACTATGACCCATATTCGGCGGGAAAAATAAGCAGCCAGCAGAAGTTGTATCTGAGTAAGAGCAGATATTGGATTTAGCAGACAAAAACTTCAAAGGAGTTATTATATATTCAAAGAACTACAGGAAGCCATGCTCAAAGTTATGATGATATAACTAAATAGGGAATATCAACAAAGAAATAAATGCAAACTATTAAAAAGAACCAAGTGGAAATTTTAGAGTTGAATAGTAACCGAAATAAAAAATTCAAATGAGTTCACCAGATGGTCTGAAGAGCAGATTTGATATTATATAGGAAACAGTCTGTGAAATTACAGATAAAGAAATTAACCAATCAGAACAGAGAAAAAGAACAGAGCATTGGAGACTTGTAAACAACATCAAGCATACCAGCATGTATATAATGGGAACTTCAGAAAGGGAACAGTAAAAATATTACAAGAAATAACTGCTGAAAACATTCCAAATCTCATGAAAAAACATTAACCTACAGATCTAAGAAATTCAACAAATCCAAAGTATGATAAGCACAAAGAGATCCTCACCCAGATACTTCATAATCAAACAGCTGAAAACAAAACACAAGAAAAAAATCTTTTTTTTTTTTTTTTTTTTTTTTTGAGACGGAGTCTCGCTGTCGCCCAGGCTGGAGTGCAGTGGCGAGATCTCAGCTCACTGTAGGCTCCGCCCCCCGGGGTTCACACCACTCTCCTGCCTCAGCCTCCCGAGTAGCTGGGACTACAGGCGCCCGCCACCTCGCCCAGCTAATTTTTTGTATTTTTAGTAGAGACGGGGTTTCACCGTGTTAGCCAGGATGGTCTCGATCTCCTGACCTCGTGATCCGCCCGCCTCAGCCTCCCAAAGTGCTGGGATTACAGGCGTGAGCCACCGTGCCTGGCAAGAAAAAAATCGTGAAAGCAGCGAGAAGAAAATAACTTCTAACATATAGGAGAGTTTTTAACAAATAGTACTAGGACAACTGCATATCCATACACCAAAATAAAAATAAAAATAATAATGAACTTGTCTCTTTGCTTCACACCATATGCAAAACTTAATTAAAATTGGATCCTAGAACTATAAGAGCTAAAACTGTAACACTTCTAGAACAGGGGTTAGCAAACATTTTTTGAAAGGGGCCATTAAGTATTTCAAGTTTTCTGGGCAGTACAGTATAGCAACTGCTCAACAGTTCAGGTAGAGAAAAAGCAGGCATAGACAATATGTAAATACAAAAGTATGGCTATGTTTAAATAAAACTTTATTTACAAAAGTAGGCTGTGGGCCAGATGGGGTTCACAGGCTAAAATTTGCTGACTCTTGTTCAAGAACGAAACAAAGGAAAAAATTTCTATGACCTTGGAGGAGGCAAAGTTTTCTTAAATTTGATACCAGAAACAGAATCTATACAAGAAAAAAAGTTGATAACTGAATTTAACAAAATGAAAAACTTCTGCTCTTCATTAAGAAAATGAAAACTCAAGTCATACATTAGGAGAAGATATTTGTAAATCATATATCTAATAAGGAATTTGTCTCCATAAATACTCTTATAACTCAATAAAACAACAAATTACCAAAATAAAAATTGGGCAAAAATGTATGAATAGATATTTCACAAAAGAAGATATACAAATGGATAATCAGCACATAAAAATTGCTCAACAGTTTGTAGTTCTCCTTGAAGATGTCCTTCACATCCCTCGTAAGTTGGATTCCTAAGTATTTTATTCTCTTTGTAGCAATTGTGAATGGGAGTTCACTCATGATTTGGCTGTTTGTCTACTATTGGTGTATAGGAATGCTTGTGATTTTTGCACACTGATTTTGTATCCTGAGACTTCACTGAAGTTGCTTATCAGCTTAAGGAGATTTTAGGCTGAGACAATGGGATTTTCTAAATATACAATCATGTCATCTGCAAACAGAGACAATTTGACTTCCTCTCTTCCTATTTGAATACAGTTTATTTCTTTCTCTTGCCTTATTGCACTGGACAGAATTTCCAATACTATGTTGAATAGGAGTGGTGAGAGGAGACACACTTGTGCTGGTTTTCAAAGGGAATGTTTCCAGCTTTTGCCCATGCAGTATGATACTGACTGTGGGTCTGTCATAAATAGCTCTTATTATTATGAGATACATTCCATCAATATCTAGTTTATTGAGAGATTTTAGCATGAAGCGGTATTGAATTTTATCAAAGGCCTTTTCTGCATGTATTGAGACAATCATGTGGTTTTTGTCATTGGTTCTATTTATATGATGGATTACATTTATCGATTTGTATATGTTGAACCAGCCTTGCATTCCAGGGATGAAGCCAAATTGATCTTGATGGATATGCGTTTTGATGTGCTGCTGGATTTGGTTTGCCAGTATTTTATTGCAGATTTTTGCACTGATATTCATCAGGGATATTGGCCTGAAATTTTCTTTTTTTGTTGTGTCTCTGCCAGGTTTTAGTATCAGGATGATGCTGTCCTCATAAAACGAGTTAGGGAGGAACCCCTCTTTTTCCATTATTTGGAAAAGTTTCAGAAGGAATGGTACCAGCTCCTCTTTGTACCTCTGGTAGAATTCAGCTATGAATGCATCTGGTCCTGGGCTTTTTGGTTGGTAGGCTATTAATTACTCCCTCAATTTTAGAACTGGTTATTGGTCTTTTCAGGGATTTGACTTCTTCCTGGTTTAGTCTTGGGAGGGTGTATGTGTCCAGGAATTTATCCATTTCTTCTAAATTTTCTAGTTTATTTGCATAGAGGTGTTTATAGTATTCCCTGTGGCAGTTTGTATTTCTGTGGGATCAGTGGTGATATCCTCTTTATCATTTTTTACTGTGTCTCTTTGATTCTTCTCTCTTTTCTTCTTTATTAGTCTGGCTAGTGGTCTATCTGTTTCGTTAATCTTTTGAAAAAACCAGCTCCTGGATTCAATGATTTTTTTGAAGGGTTTTTCGTGTCTCTATCTCCTTCAGTTCTACTCTGATCTTAGTTATTTCTTGTCTTCTGCTAGCTTTTGAATTTGTTTCCTCTTGCTTCTCTAGTTCTTTTAATTGTGAGGTTAGGGTGTCGATTTTAGATCTCTCCCTCTTTCTCCTGTGGGCATTTAGTGCTATAAATTTCCCTCTAAACACTACTTTAGCTGTGTCCCAGAGATTCTGGTACATTGTGACTTTGTTCTCATTGGTTTCAAAGAACTTCTTTATTTCTGCCTTAATTTCGTAATTTACCCAGTAGTCATGCAGGAGTGGGTTGTTCAGTTTCCATGTAGTTGTGCGGTTTTGAGTGAGTTTCTTAATCCTGAGTTCTAATTTGATTGCACTGTGATCTGAGAGACTGTTATGATTTCTGTTGTTTTGCAGTTGCTGAGGAGTGTTTTACTTCCAATTATGTGGTCAATTTTAGAATGAGTGCAATGTGCTGCTGAGAAGAAGGCATATTCTGTTGATTTGGGGTAGAGAGTTCCCCAGATGTCTATTAGGTCTGCGTGGTCCAGAGCTGAGTTCAAGTCCTGAATATCCTTGTTAATTTTCTGTCTCACTGATCTGTCTAATATTGATAATGGGGCGGTAAGTCTCCGGCTATTATTGTGTGGGAGTCTAAGTCTCTTTGTAGTTCTCTAAGAACTTGCTTTATGAATCTGGGTGCTCCTGTATTGGGTGCAAATATATTTAGGACAGTTAGCTCTTCTTGTTGCATTGATCCCTTTACCATTATGTAATGGCCTTCTTTGTCTTTTCTCATATTTGTTGGTTTAAAGTCTGTTTTATCAGAGACAAGGGAATAAGAGAGAACACAAACAAATGGAAAAACATCCCACGCTCATGGATAGGAAGAATTAATATAGTGAAAACAGCCCACCGCCCAAAGTAAGTTATAGATTCAATGCTATTCCCATCAAGCTACCATTGACTTTCTTCACAGAATTAGAAAAAACTACTTTAAATTTCATATGGAACCATAAAAGAGCCCATATAGCCAAGACAATCCTAAGTAAAAAGAACAAAGCTGGAAGCATCATGCTACCTGATTTCAAACTATACTACAAGGCTACAGTAACCAAAACAGCATGGTACTGGTACCAAAACAGATATATAGACCAATGGAACAGAACAGAGGCCTCAGAAATAATGCCACACACCTACAACCATCTGATCTTTGAAAAACCTGACAAAAACAAGCAATGGGGAAATGATTCCCTATTTAATAAATGGTGTTGGGAAAACTGGCTAGCTATATGCAGAAAACTGAAACTGGACCCCTTCCTTACACCTTATACAAAAATTAACTTAAATGGATTAAAAACTTAAACGTAAGACCTAAAACCATAAAAACTCTAGAAGAAAACCTAGGCTATACCATTCAGGACATATGCATGGGCAAAGTCTTCATGACTAAAACACCAAAAGCAATAGCAATAGAAGCCAAAATTGACAAATGAGATCTAATTAAACTAAAGAGCTTCTTCACGGCAAAAGAAACTACCATCAGAGTGAACAGGCAACCTACAGAATGGGAGAAACTTTTGCAATCTATCCATCTGACAAAGGGCTAATATCTAGAATCTACGAAGAACTTAAACAAATTTACAAGAAAAAAACAACCCCATCAAAAAGTAGGCTAAAGATATGAACAGACGCTTCTCAAAAGAAGACATTTATGTAGCCAACAAATATATGAAAAGAAGCTCATCATCACTGGTCATTAGAGAAATGCAAATCAAAACCACAGTGTGATACCATCTCACACCAGTTAGAATGGCAATCATTAAAAAGTCAGCAAACAACAGATGCTAGAGAGGATGTGGAGAAACAGGAAAGCTTTTACACTGTTGATGGGAATGTAAATTAGTTCAACCATTGCGGAAGACAGTGTGGCGATTCCTCAAGGATCTAGAACTAGAAATACCATTTGACCCAGCAATCCCATTACTGGGTATATACCCAAAGGATTATAAATCATTCTATTATAAAGACACATGCACACATATGTTTATTGTAGCACTGTTCACAGCAGCAAAGACTTGGAACCAACCCAAATGTCCATCAATGATAGACTGGATTAAGAAAATGAGGCACCTATATACCATGGAATACTATGCAGCCATAAAAAAGGATTAGTTCATGTCCTTTGCAGGGACATGGATGAAGCCGGAAACCATCATTGTCAGCAAACTAACACAGGAACAGAAAACCAAACACTGCATGTTCTCACTCATTAACTGGGGCTTTAACAGTGAGAACATATGGACACAGGGAGGGAAACATCACACACCGGGGCCTGTTGGGGAGTGGGGGACTAGGGGAGGGATAGCATTAGAAGAGATATCTAATGTAGATGATGGGCTGATGGGTGCAGCAAACCACCATGGCACGTGTATAACTATGTAACAAACCTGCACGTTCTGCACTGTATCCCAGAACTTAAAGTACAATAATTTAAAAAAAAAAAAAGTTGCTCAACATCATTAGTCATTAAGGAGATGCAAATTAACAGCATAATGAGATTACACTAAATGTCTATCAGAATGGCTATAATCAAAAATACTGACAATAACAGATATTGGCCAGGATGTAAAGAAACTGCAAGCCTCATGCACTATTCCTAAAATATAAAATGGTACAGTCACTTTGGAAAACACTTTGGTAGTTTCTGAAAGAATTAAAATATAGGCTTATCATATGACCCAACAGTTTCCTTTGACATAAAAATGTGTACAAGAATTTTTATACCATTATTCATAATAGCCAAAAACTGGAAATGTTCAATAGTTTATCAACCGGTAAATGGACAAAATGTGGTATATTCATATAATGGAATAATTATTTGGCAATAAAAAAGAATGAGCTGGGCGTGGTGGCTCATGCCTATAACCCTAACACTCTGGGAAGCCAAGATGGGCAGATCACTTTGAGCTCAGGAGTTCGAGACCAACCTGACCAACATGGCGAAACCCTGTCTCTACTAAAAACACAAAAATTAGCCGGGTGTGGTGGCACACGCTTGTCGTCCCAGCTACTTGGGAGGCGGAGGCAGAAGAATCGCTTGAACCTGGGAGGTGGAGGTTGCAGTGAGCCAAGATCACGCCACTGCACTCCAGCCTGAGCGAAAGAGTGAGACTCTGTCTCACAAAAAAAAAAAAAAAAAAAAAAAAAAAGAATTAACTACCAAGACATGCGACAACAGGGATGAATCTCAAAAACAGTATCCTAAGTGAAAAATAGACTACATTTTGTACAATTCCATTTATATGAAATTTCCACAAAATGCAAATCTAGAAACAGAAAGCAAATCAGTGGTTGTCTGAGACTGAGAGTAAGAACAAGGATTGACCTCAAATGAACACCAGGTTTCTTTTTAGGGTGATGAAAACATGTTCTGGCCAGGCATGGTGGCTCACGCCTGTAATCTCAACACTTTGGGAGGCTGAGGCGGGCAGATTGCCTGAGGTCAGGACTTTGGGACCAGTCTGGCCAACATGGTGAAACCCCGTCTCTACTAAAAATACAAAAAAATTAGCTGGGCGTGGTGGCGTGCACCTGTAATCCCAGTTACTCAGGAGGCGGAGGCAGGGGAATTGCTTGAACCAGGAAGGTAGAGGTTGCAGTGAGCCAAGATTACACCACTGCACTCCAGCCTGGGTGACAGAGCAAGACTTCATCTCAAAAAAAAAAAAAGTTCTAAAACTAGATTGTGAGAATATTTACACAACTCTGTAGATTTACTAAAAAAAAACATTGAGTTGAGACCTGGTGCTGTAGCAGATGCTTGTAAGTCCCAGCTACTCGGGAAGCTGAGGTGGGAGGATACTTTGAGCCCAGGAGTTCAGGAGTTCAACTCCAGCCTGGACAACATAGCAAGACCCCTAATCTTAAAAACAAATTTTTTTAGACCAGGTGTGCTGGCTCACACCTGTAATCCCAGCACTTTGGGAGGCAGAGGAGGGCGGATCACTTAAGGCCAGGAGTTAGAGACCAGCCTGGCTCACATGGTGAAACCCCACCTCTACTAAAAATAGTGATGTGCACCTGTAATCCCAGCTACTAAGGAGGCTGAGGCACGAGAATCATTTGAACCTGGGAGGTGGAGGTTGCGCTGAGCCGAGATCATGCCACTGCACTCCAGCGTAGGCAACAGAGCAAGACTCTGCCTCAAAAAAAAAAAAGTTAAATCATTGAACTCTTACATGAGTGAATTTTAGTGTATAAATCATACCTCAATAAAGCTGTTGCAGAAGAAAAAAAAGAAAATCCATCCCTGCCACTCACAAGCTGCTACCTACAGCAGATTACTATCCTAAGCCTCAATTTTGCCATCTGAAAAAAACAGAAAAAACAGTTAATAATACCTCACCAGGTTCTTGCTAATTCTTTAGTAACACAGAGGAATCTTTTAGCCCTTCTTTTTTTGTCTTATAGCTTAAACCATGCTGCAGGAAATGTATCAATCCAAGATAAAAGAGCTGAAATCCAAGAACCTCCCCCTCACATTTTGTTTGTTTGTTTGTTTTGTTTTTTTTTGTTTAGACACAGGATCTTGCTCTGTCACCCAGGCTGGAGTGCATTGGTGCCATCACAGCTCACTGCAGCCTCAAACTCCTGGAGCCCCTCACTTTAAAACAAAAACAGAAACACTGTATTACCAATGCTCTTACTAAAACAGACTATGAAAATTCTAAATTCTAATTCTAACATAAAAAGATGAATTCTAATAAAAAAATACACGCGATAAGAAAACATTATAATTTAATTGAAAGTGGTTTATTAATTTGTGGTATATAAATAATTAAAATCTTAAAATTTTAAATTTGTTTAAATATTAACAAATTTATGAAATATACAAATTAAATATTTACATATTTATGAAATATACAAATACTTATTTGCTTAATCTTCCCCTGCCATTAATTTGAACATTTCTCCTCTGTATAACATTGACGAATATGCAAATTTTCCTTCCTATACAAATTCTTCCAGTTTCCTAATGAGTCTAGAAGCAGTCCCAGTATCTTAAGATGTGAGGAGAATTAAACCAACTGTAACAACAACTACAGTTAGCCAGTCAGAAGGGACAGGATCCTTACCCCTAAGGTGCCAAGGTTGTTGTCATAGTAATACCACTGTGATTTATTCTCCTCTCCCCTTTCAGTTTGAAAATACTCACAGAAAAAAACAGGGGGGTGGGGGGGGACAAAAAGTTATGTGGGTAAATATAAAAAATCTTTACGCTGATAAAATATATTCTAATCTTCTCAAATGTCTTTTGCTACCTCCTCTTTAGGCTTTTCGTGGTCATAGAAACTGAAACTATTCCATTACCACCAACAAAGAATGATTTGCTATTATTCTGGAGCTCACTCATGTTCTATACGTCTTAAAAATGCTCTTGCTGATAGGAGATATGGTAATACTCAAAGGGAATCAACATACAGAAAAAGAGGAAACTGAGAAACATAAAGTTACATTTGCTCTAAAAACCTCAGTAAATGCTCTAAAACCAAAAATAAAAAAATTTAACTGTAAGACATATGCAGAAATATACAAATAACTGTAAATATAAAAGTCACAGAAAAAGAAAACATTTGAAAAATGCCACTGCTCTGTGACTGTCATTAAACTGGGCAGAGGAAGAGAATCTCTGGCTTCTTTTTATTCTACGTCCAGAGAGAAGCCATTCCATTCCTTAAAGACTACCTATATAAAAGCACATCTACTTTTCTCTATTTCTAACATTTGAAGACCTTCATTGAGGCCACAATCAGAAAGGAAAGTAAAAATCTTAAGATCCAGTGAAACCTAAGCTATAATAAAGGTTAAGATGGCATTTCAGAGAGTCAAAAATACAGAATGGCAATATGGTAGCCTGTAACTGGGAAAGAGGCATAGGAGCTTTACCTGAGAGTTAACATAGCTAGGCCTGATGCTACAATCTTTAGAAGGGCCTGTTTGTAAGACTGGTCCTTGGTTAGCATCTGTGAATTTGGTTTTTAGAATATTACTTATGTTGATAAGGCTGTTTTACCCACTTGGGACACTGAATTCTGCTATACCAGCTTGCTGAGATTGTTTGTAAACAATGTGATTACATACAGTAAACACTTTCCTTCTGAGAGCCTGGAATTTTGGTAGCTGTGGCTAGCTACACAGGCAGAATGCCTACATGACCAGTCCCCAATAAAAATCCTGGATTTTAAATGTTAAAGCAGCCTTCTTTGGGCAGAAATACTATGTACTTTCTATGCAGCCCACCTCCACATAAGGGAGAACAGTACACACCTGTAACTGGATTCTAGAGCACGCAACCTAGATCCCTCACATGTGCAGTTCACAATAGGGTTCACACTCCTATGACAACCTAATGCTGCCACTGATCTCACAGGAGGCGGAACTCAGGTGGGTAATGCTCGCTGGCCCACCGTTCGCATCCTGTTGCACAGTCCAGTTCCTAACAGGCCACGGACCAGCTGAGGACCCCTGCTCTAGAGAATCGCCAAATGTGAGGGTGGTCATGAAAGTTTCAAACAGGTGTTAAAGGCAAAGTGATATAAAAGAATCATCACTGCAGTTTTAAAGAGTCCTATAAGGAAGAACTCTCATCTTTTTCTCTTGATCAAATTCACTTTCAGACCAAAGAGACATGCATATAGAATTTAAGCAGAATACTGTGATTCATGTAAGAAAAAATAAACTACAGAGATCCAGAAAACAGGCTGGGCGCAATGGCTCATGCCTGTAATCCCAGCACTTCGGGAGGCCAAGGTGGGCAGATTCCTTGAGCCCAGGAGTTCAAGAAAAGCCTGGGCAACATGGTGAAACCCCATCTCTACAAAAAATATAAAAATTGGCCAGGGGTGGGGGTGCACACCTGCAGTCCCAGCTATTTGGGAGGCTGAGGTGGGAGGATCGCTTGAGCCTGGGAGGTGGAGGCTGTGGTGAGCTGTAAGCATGCCACTGGACTCCAGCCTGGGTAACAGAGTGAAATCCTATCTCCAAAAAAGAAACAAAAAAAGATCCAGAAAACATCAGAGGCAAAGAACTGGGGAAAAAAGTAGAGGATAGGGGAAGAAGAAGGGTAAGCTAGCTGTCAATGACTGAACTAAAATTAACATTTAAGTCATTATAAATCTTTACTGTTTGATCAGTTAAATGAATGCAATGAGATTCCCAAAATTAATTTTTAAATCTTTCCAAATTTCCATTTAAATAGGCATGATGATAAGAAAGTTTTTCTAAGAAAGGGCATACTTCAGGTACTAGAGAGCCATTCTAAACTCTATTTTTAAAACTCAACCATTTGAAGCTACTATGAAGCAACACAATCTTATAAACTGGCCAAGTTTGCTGTCAGAATCATAGAGAAATTCCTGCATGTTTTTAAAAACAAGTCAACATTTCCATACCCTACATTCTCTTAAACTTACACTCTTTTCTGGCTTTACCATTTCTGATAATGGCAATATTATAAGGCCTTGAACTTCATATTCTCTTCAATTCATCTTAACTGTCTCACATAGGAACATTTCTATCTGCATAGAATTCTGTGTAGAATCCTCATGATTCTAACCCTTAAACATCTCCCACATCTGTTCAGTTTGTTACCCCACCTGTCACTGCCTTGGTTCAAAGCCCCCATGATTTTTTTACTACACTATTTCTATTTATTTCTTCCAACTCCAATCCATCCTTCATATTGCCATCACACCATCAAGGAGAGCTATTCTTTTTTTCTTTATTTTTTTTTTTTGAGACGGAGTCTCACTCACACTGTCGCCTGGGCTGGAGTGCAATGGCGCAATCTCGGGCACTGCAACCTCTGCCTCCTGGGTTCACACAATTCTCCTGCCTCAGCCTCCCGAGTAGCTGGGATACAGGCACACACCCACACCTGGCTAATTTTTTTGTATCTTTAGTAGAGATGGGGTTTTACTATGTTGGCCAGACTTGTCTCGAACTCCTGACCTCGTGATCCACCCGCCTCAACCTCCCAAAGTGCTGGGATTACCGGCGTGAGCCACCGCACCCGGCCAAGGAGTGCTATTCTTTTGTTTTTGTTTTTGTTTTTTTTGTTTGTTTGTTTGTTTTTGTTTTTGTTTTTTTTGAGATAGAGTCTCGCCCTGTCGCCCAGGCTGGAGTGCAATGGCGCAATCTTGGCTCACTGCAACCTCCGCCTCCCAAGTTCAAGCGATTCTCCTTTCTCAACCTCCCAAGTAGCTTGGATTACAGGCACACGCCACCAAGCCTGGCTAATTTTTTGTATCTTTAGTACAGATGGGGTTTCACCATGTTGGCCAGGATGGTCTTGAACTCCTGACCTCATGATCCGCCCACCTTGGCCTCCCAAAGTGCTGAGATTACAGGTGTTAGCCATCGCACCCAGCCTAGGAGTGCTATTCTTCTTCAGTCCCAATCATCACTCCTTCCTTTGCTAAGAACTTTTATTAGCTCTGTACCAGTCACAGAATAAAATACAAGTATTTTACAACGGCATTCAATTCCCTCCATAATCTGGTTCCAATCTATTTTCCAGTTCTCTAATTCTGCCCCTCTTATACTGTATCTCTATAAGTCAGCTACTCAAATGCCTCCAGCCCCAGGGTGGTGTTACGTATGTGTGAAAAGGTAGACAAGGTGTAAGATAATAGGGAATGGTAGGACCAATATCTAGCTATAAATATCTGTATAAAAAAATTTTTTTCTAACTATGCAACCCAGACAAAAAACATCTACAAACAGATCTCAGTTACTAGCCAAGCCTTTTACAACTCCTGCAAGTTAAGCCAAATAGTTTCCTGCTATTAAAAATAAGCTCTGGGCTTTCCTACTACTAAATACTTTGTGTGTACATAACTCCCTTTCTCATTAAAACCTTATGCCTAATCCCATGAAAACTGCAGGCACCTTCAAAATCCATTCAAATGCCACCCCCTTAATGAAGCCCTTTCTGTGCTTCCCTAACTCAACTATTACCTCTTTCCTCCCAAATCCCTACTCTCTGCTCCTGTAACTCTTTAATTATACTTAGTACATTTTGAATTATATTATAATCATTTATATTCATTTCTTATCTCTTCTACAAGGCTACAAGATGAGAAAACAAATAGGGTGTTTCCTTATTTTTGTATTCTCCATCCTTAAACATAGATTAGTACAATTAGGTACATCTACTATATTTGAAAAATTCAATTTAACCAAAATTTTAAAAATCTTAAAATGTTGACAGTAAATGTTATCTTAAAAACAACCCAATTTTTATAAAACATAACTAGTAAGTCCGGGCACAGTGGCTCACACCTGTAATCCCAGCACTTCAGGAGGCTGAGGCAGGCAGATCACTTGAGCCCAGGAGTTCAAGATCAGCCTGGGCAACATGGCGAAACCCCCTCTACAAAAAATACAAAAATTAGCCAGGTGTGGTGTTGTGCATCTGTGTTCCCAGCTATTTGGAACGCTGAGGTAGGAAGATCACTTGAGCACGGGAGGTGGAAGTTGTGGTGAACCGAGATCACATCACTGTACTCCAGCAGGAGCAAGACCGTGTCTTAAACACACACACACACACACACACACACACACACACATACACACAACTAGTACAACTAGCAAAACAGAAAAGATGAAAAATTACCATTTGGAAGCCAAAATGAGTTTCATTAACTTATTTATTTACTCCCACATATAAAATGCATTATTCTTAATCTGTGGTTAAGAGAGACATCAGAAAAGAGTCTCTTATTCTGTGTATTCTTCAGAAGGTGGTAAAGTTAAATGGTAAAAAAAATTCTTTTTACAACCACCACAAAATAGCAAATTTTAAATAGTGAAATTAGAGCTATAAACTGGTATAATTCCTTTACATGGTACTTGGGTCATTCAATAATTCATTTAGAGGAGTTTTCTTTAAAAAAATGAAAGAAGCTCAGATTTGTAAATGTCTACCTTTTTTTCCTAAACATTCTTGACCCTTGACCCTCTCTTCCTAACTCCAGTCCTACCCACACAGTGCTTAAAGTGACTGTCTACAGAATGCACTGAATCTTCCTTAAGAATGAAAACAGGTAGTGATATAAACAGGTGCTAGTTAAGATTTCAGGAAACTTCAGACTTCCTCCCATATGGTGAGAGTAAAAAAAACAATGAAAGAGATTTCCAGTTTCTAACCTAACATGTAAAGATTTTAGAAGGTATTACTCTTATCCTGACAGGAAAAAAAAAACGTGAATTAAAAACCAATAACTCTTATCAGATCTATCTGAGAATTGAGGTGACAGAGCAAACCAATGCCCCAAAAACTGGAAGTATGGACAGAATCAGAGAATCCTAAACCACCCTTGGAGCTAGCAGGAATACTTAAAGGGTAATGAACTAATTGCTGGAGACTAAATGTGGACTACCCTGAGAGATACAAACTCCTGAGAGCCAAGGAATCAAGCTGTAGAAGGCTTTATGAAAGTTTTACTTCCAAGGGCCCCAACAAATACCCACTTCACTGAGTATTCTGTTCTCTTTACAAAAATGCCTAACTGCAAGAGAAACTATTTTACCAGAGCCTAACAAAATTGGGCCTTACAAGAGTTTAACAGACTTGGAGTAAAAGTAATACCCAAATCCAGCCCCCTCCAGCCTTCTTGTCTGACCTAAAGTGGGAGAAAATCTGAGAAGAACTTCTTAAGTCACAGACCAGTGGCACAGGCTCACCAAAAGAATTACAACTGATCACAGAATTATAGAATGTGTCTCCTCTCCTCATCTTACCACTACATCAACAGGGCACCTGTGTAATAACAGGGGAAAGTAACTGAAAGAAATGCAGGACTTGGACCTCATCTAACAAGCCTCTTAACAAATTGGGTGTAGAAGGAACATACTTCAACATGATAAAGACCACATATGACAAACCCACAGCTAATATCACAATGAACAGGGAAAAACTGAAAGCCTTTCCACTAAGATCTGGAACAAGATAAGGATGCCCACTTTCACCACTTCAATTCAACATAGTACTGGAAGACCTAGCCAGAACAATTAGTCAAGAGAAGAAATAAAGGGCATCCAAATGTAAAGGAAAAAGTCAAATTATCCTTGTTTGCAGGTGACATGGTCTTATATTTAGAAAAACCTGAAGTCTCCACCAAAAACCCTAAGATCTGATAAACAAAATCAGTAAAGCTGCAGGATACAAAATCAACACAGAAAAATCAGTAGCATTTCTATATACAAACAGCAATCAAACTGAAAAAGAAATCAAGAAAGCAATCCCATTTACAATAACTACCAAAAACAAAACAAAATACCTAGGAATAAATTTAACCAAAGAAGTGTAAGAGCTATACCAGGAAAATTTTGAAACACTGATGAAAGGAATTGAAGAGGACATAAAAAACTGGATAGATATCCCATGTTCATGGATTGGAAGAATTAATATTGTTTAAATGTCCATACTACCCAACACAATTTAAATATTTAATGAAACCCCTATCAAAATACCAATGACATTCTTCAAAGAAATTTTTTTAAATCCTAAAATTTATAAAAGGTATAACACATATAAAATGGGAATAGCAGAAGGAGAGAAAGAAATACAGTAATTACTGAGAAGTTTCCAAAATTAATGACAGACACCAAACCACAAATCCAGGAAGCTCAGAGAACTCCAAGAAGGATAAATACCAAGAAATTGACACTTAGGTATATTATATTAAAACTGCAAAAAACCAAAGACAAACAAAAGATCTTGAAAGAAACCAGAGGACAAAAACACTTTATCAATAGACAAACATGGATAAAAATGATAAGAAACATAAAAATGATAAGAATTATGTAAGATTTCTCTTCAGAAACCGTGCAAGAAGTGATAAAATAAAGTGCTGATAGCGAAAGAAAAAAACCCACTAATTTAGAATTCTATATCCAGGAAAAATTTCTTTCAAAATTAAAGAAGAAATAAAGCTTTTGTTAGTCTAACAAAAATTGAGGGAGTTTGTCAATTTAGACATTAGATCTGCCTTGCAAGAAATGTTAAAAGAAGTCCCTCAGAGAAGAGTAAGGATATAGGTCAGAAAACTATATCTACATAAAGCAAGCAAGCAAGTACATTAGAGAAAGAACAAATGAGGGTAAAATAAAATATTTTATTTCATTTTTTTCTTATTCTTAATTGATCTAACAAATAATTTGTTCAAATTAATAAAAGCAGCAATGTATTTGGTGATTATAGCTTATGGATAAGTGAAACAAATGACAGTAATGTCATAAGGGACAGGAGGGAGAAATTAGAAAGACCCTCACATGATGCTTCTACTACCCATGAAGCAGTATAGTGTTATTTGAAAGTTGTTAGCCGGGTGCAGTGGCTCCTGCCTGTAATCCTGTACTTTGGGAGGACAAGACAGGAGGATCACTTGAGCCCATGAGTTCAAGACCAGCCTGGGCAGGATAGTGAGACCCTGTCTCTACAAAAAATTTAAAAATTAGCCAGGCATGGTGGTGCATGTCTGTAGTCCCAGCTACTCGAGAGGCTGAGGTGGGAGGATCCCTTCAGCCCAGGAGGTGGAAGTGGCAGTAAGCCAAGATTGTGCACCCCTGCACTCCAGCCTAAATAAGAGTAAGAGCCCGTCTCAAAAAAATAAAAAATAAAGAAAGTTGTAAATTAGTTGTAAATGTATGCTGCAAAAACTAAAAGACAGTAATAAAAACAATATAAACATATATATGTATAAATGATATGATGAGAGGAAAAAATTATAGTCATATAAAACACACAATTAAAACCAGAGAAGGCAGGAAAAAAGTGGAAGACAAAAAAAAAGGGGGAGAAGATTGGCAATGATTAGAAAAGGATAGTAAGTAAGGTAGATATTAATTAAATATAGCAACAATCCTTCAGGAGGTGGAATGGATAAGCAAACTATGGTACATCCACAAAATGAAACAAAAAATGAAATACTATTCAGTGATAAAGAGAAGTTACCAAGCTCTAAAAAGACATGGAGGAATCTTGAAGGTATGTCGTTAAATGAAAGCCAATTTGAAAGGCTATATACTGCATGATTCCCAACTGTAGGACATTCAAGAAAAGGCAAATCTACTGAGACAGTAAACTGATCAGTGGTTACTAGGCACTCAGGGAGAGGGGAGAAGAAGGCGATGAATAGGTGAAGCACTGATTTTTAGGGCACTGAAACCATTCTGTATGGTATTATAACAACAGAGACATAATAGGCATTTGGTAAAAACCGTAAGACTATCCAACACAAAGAGTGAATCCTAATTAAACTATAGACTTTAGTTAATATAATAATGTATCGATATTGGTTCATCAGTTGTAACAAATGTACCATACTAATTCAAGATGTTAAGAACAGGAAAAACCGCTTAGGTAGGAGTAGTATTTAATGCCATATAAAAGCATCTAATGTAGCATTCTCACTTAGGGAACTCAAAAATATCATCAATATGGATAAACATAACAGATGAACATAACTAGACCTTCCAGGCTGAAGTAATCCTCCCACCTCAGCCTCCCAAGTAGCTGGGACCACAGGTGTGCACCACCTCATCCAGTTATTTTTTTTTACTTTTTGGAGAAAGGGGACTCACTTTGTTGCCCAGGCTGGTCTCGAACTCCTGGGTTCAAGAAATCCTCCTGCCTTAGCCTCCCAAAGTGCTGGGATTACAGGCCTCATGAGCAACCACACCCAGCCTAATGCTGTTAATTTTGGAAGATACTAATTTTTTCTACATGATTTCTATATATCCTAACTGAATCTGAATTGAACCTCCCTCAAGAGCAATTATAAAAAGCAATTATAGGCTGGGAGCGGTGGGTCACACCTATAACCCTAGCACTTTGGGAGGCCGAGGGCGGGTGGATCACTTGAGGTCAGGAGTTCAAGACCAGCCTGGTCAACAGGGTGAAACCCTGTCTCTACTAAAAATACAAAAAAATTAGCTGGCGTGGTGGTGGGCGCCTGTAATCCCAGCTACTTGGGAGGCTGAGGCAGGAGAATCGCTTGAACCTGGGAGGTGGGGGTTGCAGCAGGCCAAGGTTGTGCCATGCCACTGCACTCTAGCCTGGGCAACAGAGCAAGACTCCGCCTCAAGAAAAAAAAGAATTACAAAAATTAGCTGGGCATGGTGGCACTTGCCTGTAATCCCAGCCACTCAGGAGGCTGAGGCAGGAGAATCACCTGAACCCAGGAGGCGGAGGTTGCAGTGAGCTGAGATCATGCCATTGCACTCCAGCCTGGGGGACAAGAATGAAACTCTGTCTCAAAAAAAAAAAAAAAAAAAGCAATTATAATAGTAAAATTTATTATGCATTTCAATATTAAAGATAATATATGGTGACATACAAAAGAAAGTAATCATAAGAAAAAAACTTTTTAATATATGCAAAAAAACAGAACAAAGTGTATAAGATATGATCTCTTGTTTATATATTTTAACTCAAACATAAACGTGTATGTATAAATTTTACATATATACACAAACTTACATATGCAAAAATATATGTTAGTGTATGCATAAAAACCTTTACTGGCAGTAAACACTGGCTGAGTAGAACCAGAATCTTCCACCATTCATTTTGTACTTCTTGACTCTATTTACATTTTCTAACCATGCACGTATATTTTTTATGTCAGTAGAGTTAACTGAGCAATGAGATTGTAAGTCATTTTATGTTTTCTCCTTTAGACTACTATTTTTTTAAAAAGCTCTAATGAATACAATTTTTAAATCTATTAAAAACATGCAGCCAGGCATGGTGGCTCATGCCTCTAATCCCAGCACCTTGGGAGGCCAAGGCGGGCGGATCACGAGGTCAAGAGATGGAGACCATTCTGGCCAACAAGGTCTACTAAAAATACAAAAATTAGCTGGGCATGGTGGCAGGTGCCTGTAATCCCAACTACTCGGGAGGCTGAGGCAGGAGAATCACTTGACCCAGGAGGCGGAGGATGCAGTGAGCCATGATCCAGCCTGGTGACAGAGCGAGACTCCGTCTCAAAAAAAAAAAAAAAAAAAAAAGCAGAAATTTAAATAATACCTTAGACATCTATTTTTTAAAAAATACAAAATGTGGTTTATAATAGTGAAAAATGGGGGGAAGCTTAAAAGCTAAATGGTCAAGAACTGATTAAAGCATTACAAGGATCTTTACTAGAAAGTCTCAGGTATAGCCTATAAAGTGGAGTAAAAAAATGACAGGGAAATGAGTTCATGACAAGAAAAGCAGTTTAAAACAAGAGTATTTGTAGCCAAAGATGATTAAGAGTTTTTTTTTTTTTTTATTTTTTGAAAATTAAAAAAACATGTAATTTTTTTTTAAAAAAAGAACATTTGATCCACTTTTTGGAAAAATAATTAAAGTACTGAAAATGGCAAGACAGTTATTAATTCATTCAACAATCAATTACTGAAATCTTTTTGTGTACCAGGTACTGTGCTATGCATAGCAGATACGGTCAAGACTAGTTGCTCCAGGCAGAAAACATTATGGAACTACCATGGAAGGGACACAGACTTATATACAAATAATCCGTCAACTATTTAACCACAGTTTCTACAAATCCAATCACCAAAAATTCTTCCCACCTCTCAATGCTCAATGTCACTCCTCCCATCAAAAATAGCATCCCTAGTTCCCTCTCCTTGAATTTAGCCTTATGATGCGGTTTGACCAGTAGAATGAGGCATAAGTGATGCTGTGCCAGTTCTAGACTTCGATATTAAGAGGGCTGGAAATTTCTACTTTTGCTCAATTGCTATCCTGCTAGAGAGGATTCACCACGTGAAGAGAGAAGTCCTGAAGGGTGAGTGTCAACAGGCAGAGATAGACGAGAACCAAGATGAAAACTGATGTGCCTCAAGAAGACAACCAGCACCACGGCCCCAGAGAGGAAGCTAGGGCATCTTGGAGTCTTTAGCCTAAGTCAAACTGCCTCAATTGGCAGCAGATGAAACAGAGACAAATTATCTCCACTGACCCTACCAAATTTCCAAACTATAGAATCGTAAGTGAAAAAAATACACATTTGTGGGACCTAAAAATCAAAGCAACTGAATTCACAGACGTGGAGAGTAGAAGGATGATTACCAGAGGCTGGGAAGAATAGTGGAGGGCTAAAGGGTAGGTGGGGATGGTTAATGGATACAAAACAAAATGAGTAAGAACTAGTATTTGGTAGCACAACAGGGTGACTATAGTCAATAACTCAATTGTACATTTTTAAGTAACTAAAAGAATATAACTGGATTGTCTGGAACACTAAAGATAAATGCTTGAAGTGATTAATATCCCATTCTCCATGATGTGATTATTTTACACTGCATGACCGTATCAAAACTTCTCATGTACCCCATATATACACCATGCACCCACAAAAATTAAAAAATTTGTTTTCAATTAAAAAAAATGCATACATTGAGGTGATTTGTTATGCTGCAATAGGTAACTAAGACATTACTTGGGAGGCTGAAGTAAGAAGCTCACTTGAGACCAGGAGGTCAAGATCAGCCTGAGGAATAAAGTAAGCTCCCGTCTCTTAAAAAAAAAGTTTTTAAAATTAGCCAGATATGGTAGTACATACCTGTAGTGCCACTACTCTGAAAGCTGAGGTAGGAAGATCCCTTGAGCCTAGGAGTTCAAGGCTACAGTGAGTTATAATTGTGCCACTGCACTCAAGCCTGGGTGACAGAATGAGACCCTGTCTCTTTTTAAAAAAAAAAAAAAAAAAAAAGAGGCCAGGCACAGTGGTTCATGCCTATAATCCCATTGCTTTGGGAGGCTGAGGTGGGAAGATTGCTTGAGACCAGGAGGCAGAGGCTACAGTGAGCCATGATCATGCCACTGCACTCCAGCCTGGGCAACAGAGCTGAGACTCTTTCCCCCAACACCCACTTCTCCAAAAAAAGAGAAACCACACTCAAGGAGCCTCATTCACATCCTAACTTGATGGAGATCACAAGATAATAGATTTTGAGCCTAGGGTCATAGCAAGTAAGATTTCTGAACATCCTGGGAGGGCTGGGTGTATATGACATGTTAAAGAGACATGAATTGTCCACCAGAGGAAGAACTGTAGTAGACTATCAGCAAAGACGGCTGTCAACAGTTTCTCTTATTCCTGTATATACATGCTACTCCTCCCATCAAGAGGAGCAATATATTGCTTTTTTCCTTAAATCTTGGCTGACACAGTGATCTTATTTGCTTTGGAAAACACAATTCACTGGAAATGTGCTATGTAGTTTCCAGCCTAGGACATAATAGGCCTAGAAACTTCTGGTTTTACTCTCTTGATCCAAAAACAGAAGGGGGAAAAAAAAAGAAGAAGAAGTCTAAGCTATTCTTCTAGAGAGTAGCAAAAAAAAGAAAGAAAAAAAAAGTCCTACTTGAAGAACAAACAGGTCAGCTGGAGAAGAAATGAGGGGTCTCAACAGAGAGCCAGCACTAAGGCCCAAGACACAGGAGTGATGCTATCTGAGATACTGTAGCCCCATTTGAGCCACCTAAGTCAGTGTCTTGTGGACCGGAGCAAGGTGTTCTCTGCCCCAATTCCTGGCCCCCAAATTTTAGGCAATAAACAGCTGTGATTTTAAGTCACAGTTTAAATCTAAGTTTTACTAAGTTACTTTTACTTAGTAAAAGATAACTAATATAGGTAATTTTAAGTAAGAGGTTTTGTTACTTAGTAATAAATAACTGACATAGGTAATGAGTCCAACTAATGCTACAAAGAAAAGACACTAAGTACTATCTAAGGGTCAATATTAGGGACCCTAATGTAATGTGGCAGTAGTTTATTTGATACTATTTAAAAGGGGGAATTATAAATAGGAATTTGGTTTGCTGGCTTTTAAGTTTCTATTTTCCTAAATGTTCCACAATATACATGTTTTACTTTTAAAATAACAATAAAAATGTTATTTTGTTATAACCTCCTTGAGGATATTGTTGTCAGTTTATTGGTCTTATTGTTTTTTGGGTTTGTTTGTTTGTTTGAGACAGGTTCTCACTCTGTCACCTAGGCTGGAGTGCAGTGCCATAATCTCGGCTCACTGCAGTCTCAACCACCCAGGCTCAAGCAATCATCCCACCCCAGCCTCCCAAGTAGCTGGGACAACAAGCACCCGACACCACACACCGCTAATTTTTCTATTTTTAGTAGAGACAGAGTTTTGCCACATTGCCCAGGCTAGTCTTGAACTTCTGGGCTCAAGCCATGTGCCCACCTCCGCCTCCCAAAGTGCTGGAATTACAGACAAGCACCACTGCACCCAAAGTATTAGTATTTATTAAGTCTAAATTATATTTTCTCATGACAAAATATGCAAACATCTCAGTGAATAACAATATTCAATTGTCTTTTCCGGTTGAAGAAGAGAAAGTTCTGATTACAACAACAATTCAAGAAGTAATATATATGGTTTCACATTTCTGAAGAATTAGGATGTATTAAAAACCCTAAAATTATATTGCTTATAATGTAGTATCACACTGATTTTTTGAAAATTCTTCAGATTTATATAATTCCTCATGGTTATCATTGTGAGCAGAAGCAGACAAAAGATTGAGAAAAGTAAATAATACTTTGAATACAGAATTAGAGTGGAAAACAATCCAAAAAGACTGCGATAATGAACTAAACAAGAAAAACTAAACAGCAATAATTGAGAAGACATACATATTTAGGGTAAAAAAGAAATAACCACACAAAAGTCTGAGAACAGAAAATAATCCATCTGAATATTATGAAAAGGCCTTGGGCTTTGGCTGATCACAAGTACATTTGCCAACAGTAAGCTACATCAACATAAAAAATATAATGTTATCTTAGACTTTATTAGTACATTTAATTAATATTTACTGAGAGCGTACAGAGCATCATGTACTTTACTAATATAATGAACAAATCCAGAAGGAATCATCTTACCATACTTAGAACTGCCAAACTAAATATGAAATATTAAGTCCATATATAGGAAATGGTTTTAAAAATTAGAGAAACCTACAAAAGAGAAGACCTCCTAATCCAAATGTTTCACTAAAAGAAGAAAACCCTTGAAATAATTTTTTTATTTTATCAAAATACATAATAACTACTATGTGCTGGACACTGTGCTAGGCGGTGGGGTATACAGTAGAGAACAAAATAGATATTGTCCCTGTCCTCGTTCGGCTCACAGTACAGTGAGTAGCCCATCACAGGAAGACCTTTAGCAGGTACCACGTAACAGTCTGTCGAGCATACCATAAAAGAGATTCATGTACCTTGCACAAGGTTGAAATAAATGACCTCCAACATTAAATACAAGCCTAAAATTTTACGATTAATTATAGCATTGTACCATAAAAGAATGTAATTATTATTCTGAGATAAAGAAATGTCTAATGAATAAAATACAAGCAAAGCAAGATATATACATACCCACATACACTCACATACCCATGGGTTTTTTAATACTTCCACCTAATAAAACCATCATGTCAATTCGTATGTTCAGCCTTCATAGGCAAACTATTCAAAACCAACAATCCACCTTAAGACATTCTTGTCTCAATTTTTTATCTCACATCTTAATCTCCTTACCCTGATAATTACTAGGATTTACTAGTTTTAAATTACCAAAGAAATTAATGTCTATGATTTCCTGGGGATTTCTTATATCAATCAATATACCTTTCCATGGCTTTAGCTGTATAAGGCAAATGCATTTCAATACTGTGTTCATCTTCATCTGTCTGCAGAGACATGCGTTCAAACATTCCTGTCTTCCACAGTTCTCCGTAAACTAAAGAGATTTCAAAATACAGTAAAATAAATATATTAATGTATATCCTTATCCTGTGAGATTCCACCCAGTAACACAAAACTACATGCTTTTTGGCAAGAGACAGAAACACCATATAATATTCTCATTTTTATTAAAACAAAACAAAACAATAGAAAGAAAGGAAAGGAAGGAGGGAGAGTAAGGAGAAAGAGAAAAAAACAGAACTAGTTTTTATGTAACAGGTAAAACAGTAATACGTGTAAAGACTTACTCATCATTTGTATATGTTACATAGTTATATAAAAAATGATAATTTAAATTCTTCATCAGCTCCTTTCATTATTTCTAAAATCACCTTCGGGTCTAGGCTTTTCCTTGACTTTAATCAGTACATGCTAGCAAGAACATAATTAGAATTCCTACTGAAATATGGAAAAACCACTAGTCTATTTAACTCATGAGGTCAAAAGCACAGTTTCTGAGTTTTGTTTTTTAATAAAATGTGTGGTATTATTTCACACCTGAGGTTTCTGCCATACCAAGAAGAGAAAATTCTCACTAATGCTATTTTCCTGAAAATTCAAAATTAAGCTTGTAGGATGGATCAAAATATAAATTCGCCACAATACCGTCCCAACTTTAAAACACCTAGTAATTCAGGCCTTTCTGATGAACTGTGCTTAAAATTGAATATTGTGGAACAAGAAAAAGATAAAAGTTAACATGTAAAAAATATGTATAAGAATATTTTTAGCATAGAATAGAACCAATTTTATAATTAGATCCTTAAATGGGTTTACCTGTATCAAAGAAAGAAATAAATGGTTGTATGACCTCTTTTCTTGAAAAAATTCTCTATTTCTTCACTGGCAAGCTACCCAAAATTAAAATTTTCTGAATGCCCCAACAAGGTTTTAAAAGTAAAATGTGTTCCCTAAAACCCTCTCAGGAAGTAAGGTTAGAAATACTCATTTCATTAATAAGACGCATTAACAAATTGCTAATATTGTGTGATACCTAAAGCCTCAAATTATGAAAACTTATGCCAAAAATAAGAAAGAAGAATTTTTTCTTGCAAATGGACTCTTTTATTATTTTATTTTTATATTTATTTATTTATTTTTGGAGACAGGGCTTCACCCTGTCACCCAGGCCAGGCTGGGTGACAGCATTTTGCTGGGGACAGCAAAATGATTTCAGCTCACTGAAACCTCTACCTCCGGAGCTCAAGCCATCCTCCTACCTCGCTGCCCCATGCCCTCCCCCAACCTACAGCTACGTGCTACCATGCCCAGCAGATTTTTGTATTTTTTTGTACAGATGGGGTTTTGCCACATTGCTCAGACTGGTCTCAAACTCCTGAGCTCAAGCAGTCTGCCCATCTCAGCCTCTCAAAGTGCTGGGATTTCAGCCATGAACCACCACACTAGGCCTTGACTCTTTTATTCTATACAAGAAATTTCTGCAAAATTCTTTGAAACAATAGCACCCCTAACATACTTAAAAATATAATTTGAGGCCAGGTACAGTGGCTCACACTGATAATCCCAGCACTTTGGGAGGCCAAGACAGGAGAATTGCTTGAGACCAGGAGTTCAAGATCAGCCTGGGCAACATAGCAAGACCCTACCTCTACCAAAAAAAATATTTTTAATTAATTGGGTTTGGTGATGTGTGCCTGTAGTCCTACCTACTTGGGAGGCTGGGGTAGGAGGATCACTTGAGCCCAGGAGTTTGAGGCTGCAGTGAACTATAATCATGCCACTGCACTCCAGCCTGGGCAACGGAGTGAGACCCCATCTCTAAAAACAAAAATATATATATGTGTGTGTCGGGGTGTGTGTGTGTGTGTTTATATATATACACACATATGGGCGTGTGTGTACATATATATGCATATGTATACATGCACATGCACACACACATACACGTGTGTGTGTGTGTGTGTGTGTGTGTGTACATGCGTGTGTGTGAATAATTTGACTAACTGAAAGGACATATACCCAGATCATGAAGGTGGTTACTTCTGGGAAGGTAAATTGGGTTCAGGATGAGCGAGAAATTCTGAATAAATTGTGGATGTTAAGTACATCAGTTAATTTCTTATAGTACTCTTTATACTGTTCTATATTTTTAAAATTACTCCCCCCCCCAAAAGAAAAAATACCTTTATAAAATCAAAAGATTTTTACTTTATACATCTATTGTGTAAGAACTACTAAATAAAAACGTGACTCTGGACGCCTATGGAAAAAAATAAATCAACCAAAATTGTAGGCATGTTTAAAAATAAAATATATTTATCATTTATATAGCACCTTTCTTTCAGAGTTTCATAATTAAAGGCTCATTTTTTCCCATAAAAATCATTTGAAAGAAAATAAAGATATTATCAGCATTATCTATTTACAGTGAGAAAAGTGGCGTTACATGGAAGTAAATTAACACGCCCAGAATCTTTATGAAATTGGTATGGGTACTAATTTTTTGTCTCCTGGTACACTGAGTACATGGCATTTTTCTGAATATTAATGTAACCACTACAATCTGCACACTGGCAGATCTGACAGATTTCTGTAGCTAGCTAAAAAACACTAGTTGCCTTTTAGGGATATGGAAGAGTTTCTTTTTTTGCTGTTTTATGCAGATTAGTTATAACAATTTTTATTTTAAATATTGAGATATTACTTATGATATTCATAAGTTTTTAAATTAATTTACAAGTCCTGTTAAAAGAACATTAGCTATTTGAAAGCTATAATATTTCTATATACTTACTCTTTTGGTCAATACGAAGGTCATACAGAGGTGTCCTATATATATCCACACTGGAAAGTGCACATCGAGAGAGGGGCACATGATGAGAAGGCCCAAGGATGAAAATTCTCCGGCTAGGAGATACACAACAAAAAAACACGTAACAATTGCACTTCTACACAAACCTTATTAAATAAAAGAGAAAAAAGTAATTCTTACAAATCACTTGTTTTCCTTCTTAATTACCAACTGTTAATGGCTGAACTGTGTTCCCCTCCAAAATTCACATGTTGAAGAACCAATCCCCAGTAGCACAGACTGTAGTGCTATTTAGAGATAAGGTCTTCAAAGAGGCGATTAAGTTCAAATGAGGCCATTAGAGTGGGGACCTCATCCAATGAGTCTGGTGTCCTTATAGGAAAAAGAGACACCAGAAGTATGCCTGCACAGAGATATGATCATGTCAGAAGGGGCCCAACCCTGACAGAAACTTGATATTGAATTTCAAGCTTCCAGAATTGTTAAAAAATAAATTTGTGTTGTTTAAACCACCTAATCTGTGGTATTTTGTTATGACAGCCCTAGCAAACTAATACACCTAATAATGACTTGCTCCTCAGTTAAGTTCAATTCCTTATTTCTGTCTTTGTTGGATGGCCTTTAAGAGAATCATATTCAATACTTGGAAATACCAGTTATCAATTAATACAGTAAACCAACCCACTATGCATAAAATAATCTCTATACTCTCAATGACAAGGATGCAACAGGTATTCAGAAGCTGTATTTTATTAAATGGATTTTATGCATTTAAGCTACTAAAATTTCAAAATTCTAACACATTCTAAAATAACCTTCTAAGATCCACCATGATTTTAATAAAAATGCATAATAGCATAAAATTCTAAATATCTATACAAAATATCCATTATAAAAAAGCATTCTGATAAAGCTATTTCCATATTTCTTCCATGGTAGGGTGAAAAAGGCATCTTGTTGAAAAGAATTCTATATAATAAGCTTTCTCTATTCCCATTCAAGTAGAAGTCATTCTCAAAAACAAAGAAACTAGATTATGTGTTATTTGCACTGTAGTCTAAAGAAAAGAACTGAGCTAAAGTGTAGCTTAAATCTTTACAATCTCTTTATCTTGACATCAAGAGTAATGTTAATTTCCTCTCATTCTGTCAAATACCCAAACCTGCCCTACAATCTGAATTCCAAAACTATCAATTTTCTCTGTTCTCCAAAATTCATATGAACCAACCTTCCCACATCACATACAAAACTTACAGACTCATAAAGCCAAAACTATGAGAAGAAAATATATGATATGCTATGTAGCTAGAAAAGTATTACTGATTGCTCAATTAATGAACAAAAGCTGAGAGATGAGCTAGTTCTTTTCTGTCAAAAATTTGCAGGCCAGGGAATGTGTGCTTTAGCAATGTATTTATTCTCATAAAATTCTATTACAGCTAAGAAAATTAACCAATTATTGGTTATATGTTACTTCATAAATTGCAGGGAGGAGATAAAGCTGTGGATATTAAGTTGTTCTGCTATGAAAAAAAAAAAAAAAAGAAAGTTGTGGGTAAGTGATTCTCAGTTTAGAGTCCCAAAACCTCCTTAAGACAGCACATACAGCAAACATTAAGACTTCATCCACAGGCCATTTCTGGTCAGAAACAGATTATCCTTTTCTTTAACTTTTACTTTAAGTTCAAGGGTACCTGTACGGGTTTGTAATATAGGTAAATTACGTGTTGCCAAGGTTTGGTGTACAGATTATTTGGACACCCAGGTAATAAACCTAGTATTCCATAAGTAGTTTTTTTATCCTCATCCTCCTCCCACCTTCTACCCTCCAGTAGGTCTCGGTGTCTGTTGTTCCCTTCCTTACGTCCATATGTACTCAATACTTAGCTTCTACTTGTGAGAACATGCAGTATTTGTTTTCTGTTCCTACGGGAGTTTGCTTAGGATAATGGCCTCTAGCTCAATGTTGCTGCAAGTGATATGATCTCATTCTTTTAAAGAGCTGTGTAATATTACATAGTGTATATATGTACCACATTTTCTTTATCTAGTCTACCACTGATGGGCATTTATGTTGATTCCTTGTCTTTACTATTGTGAACAGTGCTGCAGTGAACACATGTGTACATATGTCTTTATGGCAGAACAATTTACATTCCTTCAGGTACATACCCAATAATGGGACTGCGGGGCCCAGAGTTACTTCTGTTTTAAGTTCTTTGAGAAATCGCCACACTGTTTTCCACAATGATTGAATCAATTTACACTCCTACCAACAATGTATAAACATTTATTTTTCTCCACAACCTTGCCAGCATCTGTTAATTTTTGACTTTTCAATAACCGCCACTCTATTATCAGGTGGTATCTCATTGTGGTTTTGATTTGCATCTCTCTAGTGATTAGTGATTATGAGAATTTTTTCATATGCTTGTTGGCCACGTATGTATCTTCTTTTGAAAAGTGTCTGTTCATGTCCTTTGCCCTCTTTTCAACTGGATTGTTTCTTGCTCGTTAATTTAAGTTCCTTATAGACGACAGAATCTTTCTACCTCTCTTCCTTCAATATGTAATTATTAGCACTGCTAATCCTCACTTCTTGTCATCACCTCTATCATCAATTCGAGAACCATTTCAAAAAAAAAGTCAAATCTATAGATTTCTAAATGAAGAAAAACTAAAAGATAGCACTCTGGTCACCTATCTTAATAGCACATAAATAACATGACACTTTGTTTTAAATTAAAGGCTTACGTGGGCTATAGAGAATGGTAACTCAGAAATGTTTAGGTAGCCTGACTAGGGCCAGGTAGTATATGAACCAAGAATCAAATAATGAGAAAGGGCATTTTTCTGATTGAGGAAAATATGAAAAGACAGAGAGAAAGGATATTTAACATCAGAGCACTCCTGGAAAATCTGAAACACACAGTCAAAATATGAAGTGATTTTTAAAATAACAATCTAAATTCAAGGCATACATAAATTTCCTAAGTAAGTGTAATAAGGTTCTAACAATAGCCAAAAGATACACTGCTCCAGAAATAAACACCAGAGGTCTGCTGGAAGCCTAATTAACTCTTCTGATACCTGACTACTTTCCTTGTTTGCCTTTTTGTCTGCCCCAATCTAGATGAAGGAAAAAGAGCCCCACCAATCTGAATTAACCAATTCTGTACTCTACAGATTCTTTCTGGTTTGGTAGAAAACTCACCAATAGCCAAATCAAGTTCCATATTTGATTAAAAGAAATAATAAGAAAAAAAGGTTTAAGTCCCCTCAATATAAAACCCTTAAAAGCAATATATCTAAAAACAAAACCAGAAAAAGCTAAATGTCATTGAAAGGAAAGTAAAATGGGACATTTAAACCAGCCGTAATCTCAAAATGGGTCTCCTTGTTAGCTAAATGCTAACAAAAAAAATGAATAGTGTACATTAAAGTTCATGCATTTTCTTTGTTAGAATGCTAGATCCGTAAACACCAAGGCCACAGGGATATTTTGAAGAGAAATAAATAATAGAGGCATTAGAAGCAATGCCACTTTCTCTTCCTTTATTTGACTGCAAGGTGCTTTGTCTTTAAAGGCGTAACTTTTCAATATTAGCACATCATCGGTGATACACAAGTTAAAAAAAAAAAAAACCTTTAACACGAAAAAATGGGGGGAAGGAGCAAGATCAGTAGGCATTCTCTTAGAAATAAATGTACTTCATATATAATAGCTATAATAGAGAATTCACATTTGCAATGATAGTCTGTGCACCCAATGTATAAGCTGCCTGAGTGTGTACCCTCATGACTGTTTATTCAGCTACTTAGTCCAAATAATGGAACATAAGTAATTTTGTAAACGTGTTTCACAGGAAGTGAAGACATTTTAACCAAAGAATAAAATGTCATCTGGCCCCAAAAAGCATTCCTTTTTGCTCTCTTTTTCTGTCCTGCAAGGCTTGCTGAAAAATATGTATCAAAATCAAGTTACTACTACCTAAGGACATCCTGAATTCTGAGTTTTTAGAGTTTTAATAATAGTCAACTACCAATATGGAAAAGAACTAAAATGTATCATTGTTAAACTTCCTTAAACAGTCAAAGTGATTTTCTGGAAACATAGATCATATCACTTTCCTTGCTTAAAGCCTTTTATGGCATTTCATGGTCACAGGATAAAATCTAGAATCCTTAAAATGGGCTCTACACTCTTAAATGCCCTAGCAAATTAGCTATTACTCTTGCCCACCTTGATCATAATACCTGATGTATACTGGTCTTCTTGCAGTTCCTTGATAACACCAACAACTTTGCCTACTTCAAACTTTTCACCCATGCTATTGTTCCCCATTGCTTGGCTACCCTGGCTTAAAAAATGTGTTCCTCGGTTGGGTGCAGTGCCTCATGCCTGAAATGCCAGCACTTTGGGAGGCTGAAGCAGGCGGATCACGAGGTCAGGAGATCGAGACCATCTGGCTAACATGGTGAAACCCCATCTCTACTAAAAATACAAAAAATTAGCCAGGCGTGGTGGCACACGCCTGTAATCCCAGCTACTCAGGAGGCTGAGGCAGGAGAATCGTTTGAACCCGGGAGGCAGAGGTTGCAGTGAGCTGAGATTGTGCCACTGCACTCCAGCCTGGGGGACAGAGCAAGACTCCGTCTCAAAAAAAAAAAAAAAAAAAAAAAATCTGTTCCCGGAGATACTTTCCCCAATACCTTTCCCACAATTTAAATCAAGTCACCCTCTTAAGGTCTACCACAATAGTTCTCAAACTGTGAACTCTGGAATTCTGGTTTTCCTCAAGACCCTATGCAGCAGTCCATAAAATTAAAACTATTTTCATAAGAATGCAAGGAAGTTATTTACTTTTTTCATTTGCACTTATGGTGCAAAGGTGAGGGGAGCGTAAAACCACTGGCCCATTAGAACAAAGATCAAAGCAGTATCATCAACATGCACTAGCAGTCCTATTTTTTAACCTTACTCACACTAAGTTTAAAAGGGAGTTCCTAATTTCATTAAATCTTGACTCTCGAGTAGGTATCTTTTTAATATTCTATATGACAAAATGCATTCAATCTGTGGTGATAAAACATTTCTGCTGCATATGGAAGTATGTTTCAGGAAAAAGCAGTTGTGTAGTTTTGAGTTGTAAGCTGAACCAGACATTTTCCTCATGGAACAAAATTTTTACTTCAAAAGACAACTGTAGATAAATTACGGCTATTCCAATTTAGGTAGCTGGCAGAAGATTTCCCCAAAGTGAATGGAAGTCAGGCACGGTGGTTCATGCCTGTAATCTCAGCACTTTGGGAGGCTGAGGTGGGAGGACAGCTTGAGGCCAGGAGTTCAAGACCAGCCTGAGCAACATAGTGAGACCACATCTCTACAAAAATAAATTTTTAAAAAATAGCCAGGCATGCTGGCACAGGCTGGCAGTCCTAGCTACTCAGAAGGCTGGAATAGGAGGATCACTTGAGCCTGGGAATTCAACGCTGCGTGAGCTATGATCATGCCACTGACTCCAGACTGGGTGACAGAGCAAGATCCTGTCTCAAAAGGGAAAAAAAAAAAAAAAAACAGAATCTAGCACTTTAAAGAAAATAATATACTTGTTGTCAATGATAAAATTAAGGTTTTCAAGTGAAAATTGGACTTTCATAAAACTTTTATCACTGTAAGCTTGATAGCCTCCAAAGAATTAATGATTTTTTCTGATAAAATACATGGTGACATTAAGAAATGTTATTTTTTGCCAGGCACAGTGGCTCACGCATGTAATCCCAGCACTTTGGGAGGCCGAGGTGGGTGGATCACCTGAAGTCAGCAGTTTGAGACCAGTATGGCCAACATGGTGAAACCGTCTCTACTAAAAATACAAAAATTAGCAGGGCGTGGTGGCATGTGCCTGTAATCCTACCTACTCGGGAGACCGAGGCAGGAGAATCCCTTGAACCCAGGAGGTGGAGGTTGCAGTGAGCTGAGATCCTGCCACTGCACTCCAGCTGGGCGACAAGCACGAAACTCTGCCTCAAAAAAAAAAGAAAAATAAACAAAACAAAACAAAACAAAAAGTGATTTTTTACTATCATATAATGAAATACCAGCATTGAAAATATCTGCATAATCCAATAAAAATTTTCCAAATGCTCCACACGTTACAAAATTATGCCAGGGTAAAAGAGCCATTCAAACTGTAAAACAGACAATGAATTTATACAAAGTACAAATATTCGGCTGGGTGCGGTGGCTCACATCTGTAATCCCCGCACTTTGAGAGGCCGAGGCAGGTCGATCACAAGGTCAAGAGATTGAGACCATCCTGGCCAACATGGTGAAACCCTAAAAATTCAAAAATTAGCTGGGCATGGTGGCGTTCGCCTGTAGTCCCAGCTACTCGGGAGACTGAGGCAGGAGAATCACTTGAATCCAGGAGGTGGAGGTTGCAGTGAGCTGAGATAGCGCCACTGCATTCCAGCCTGGTGACAGAGCAAGACTTTGTCTCAAAAAAATAAGTACAAAAATTCATTGATAGTAACTTCAGATTTCGCATTATAACTAACCTTTAAGAAACTACCATTTGTTGAGTTTTGGTGTAGTATTAAAGAAAAATATCCACAATTATCTGCAAAGGTAATTACACTACTCCTCTTCCTTTTCTAACTACATATCTGTGTGAGGTTTCTTCATATACGTCAACTAAAACAAATGATCAAAACAGGGTGAATGCATAACCAGATATGAAAACATAGTTGTCTTTTATTAAGCCAAACATTAAAAGGAGATTTAATAACTAGTAAAACTGTAAGACATTTTTATATTTTGTAAAAAAAAAAAAAAAAGTAAAGCAATGCCACTTTTCCCACTATCTTCTATTAGAAAATGTATTTATTTCTCATTTTTAAAAATGTTATTTTTATTAACCTCTAATTTGTTTACTTTTTTAAATAATTTTTTAAGTATCTCATTTTAATTTTGAATGCATTCCACAAAGGTAGATGTGGTCTACATTTGGTGTCCTTAATAAGTTAAGGGTTCCTGAAACCAAGATGTTTGAGAACCACTGTATTTCACTTTCAGCTTTTTAATTAAATTTTTAGCTTTTAATAAGATATCTATATTCATTATCATATGCTTAATATCTATCTCACCTACCAATTTAGCAGCACAGGGCTAAAACCATGCCTGTTTTATTAATCACTGTGTCTCTAGCACTACCACAATATCTGGATCATAGCAGTCACTTAATAAACTTTTAAAATAAATATGCTTTAATTTATTCATCCATTTCTCTTGGAAAACAACACCTGAAAACCTTTGCTACCAATTCTTCATAGAACAGGCAAGTTTGTTTGTAAACAATCTTCATTATCACCTCAAAAGCTGCCTCTCACACTCCCCATTAAGTTATCAGCCCCCTAATAGTTACTGTGAAAAGAAAAATCTTGGCCAGGAACAGCGGCTCATGCCTGTAATCCCAACACTTTGGGAGGCCAAGGCAGGCAGATCAGTTGTGGTGAGGTGTTCGAGACCAGCCTAGCCAACATGGTAAAACCTTGTCTCTACTAAAAATAAAAAAATTAGCCAGGCCTGCCTGGTGGCATACGCTTGTAATCCCAGCTACTTGGGAGGCTGAGGCAGGAGAATCACTTGAACTCAGGAGGCGGAGGTTGCAGTGAGCCAAGATTGCGCCACTACACTCCAGCCTGGGTGACAAAGAGAGACTCCATCTCAAAAAAAAAAAAAAAAAGAAGAAGAAAAAGAAAAATCTTATTAGACCCTGACCAGTCCTATTATAAATCAAAGAATCATTCTGTCAGTTTAAGAATCATTAGTCCCCACAACTTGTAATCATTTTTGCACAAATGCTTTTAAATTTTATATTTTTTACCATAAAAATATATCCATTTCTCATATAAGAAAACACATGCAAACTATTAGCATTCGTTATAATAATTTATTTAACCTCATATAGTACATTCTCTTTTTTCCCAATTTTACACAATGTTATACCCCGCTTTTTTTATTTAGTCAATGCACTATCAGAAACTTAGACTCTTTAAAAAACAATGCTGCTGTAGAAAACCTAACACATTTAACTTTTTCCATTTTGGGACTTATTAGGATAGAGCTTCCGAACGTGAATTTCTAAGCCAGTAACTATATACATTTTTATGACTCTTAATATATATTATCAAATTGCTTTCCTAAAGTATTAACCTGATATAGTCCATTGAAATGCATTTTTTTATAAAAAACTAATTTTGCCATAATCTAGCCAGTTCTGGATTACAGGAATTACATAGCTGTATTGTTCTTCAAACTGTTCATTTAAATTGGTACCTCACTACTGTTTTTATTTCCATTTTTTTGAAAAATAAAACATATTTCCATTTTTATTTTTATTAATTACATTTACTTTTTGTAATTTCAGTTAATATTCTTTGATGATTTAGCCTCTAAGTACTATGATTTTTATTATTTTTGATATTATCCTTTGTCTTTTTTTGCAAATATTTTTCCCATTCCGTTCATCGCTTCCACTGGTTACATTATGACATGAGTTATTTTTTCATGTAATTTAATTATAATTTATCATGTTTTATACTCTTCCCAACAATGTCTCATAAACATTAAGACATATTGTGTTCCAAATTAGCTGTGGCTTGAAATTCCTCTCCAGATATGTTAATACCCTTATCTAACTAGTATTTACTTTGATGGATGGTGTTAGCAGAGGTTCTAAACCAATTCTTTTTCCAAGCTGCTAGTCAGCATTCTATCATCAATTTTGGAATAATTTTTACCTGTTATTTGTAATGCCTTTTAAAATCATATTTGTACCCCCCACCCACTTTTAAATTCTGGAAAGTGACAGGGTATCATTTACATTTTCAAAAGATGATCCTGGCTGAAATATAGAACAAAAATGGATTAATGTGGAAGGTAAGAATAGAAAGTGGTAGTATAGAATTTAACCTTTCTCTAAGGATGTTCTTCCTCTACTTTCTCAAAGCACTCTAAAGACACTATAATTCCCAGAGAGTGCCTCTTTCAAGAGAATTCAACTGTGACTGTCAATTATTAATTTTACACTTAGACCTTAAAATTTATTCATTCAGAATTCAGTTATTATATACTAATTACAAAAAATAATTTGATCGGGCTGGGCACAGTGGCTCATGCCTGTAATCCCAGCACTTTGGGAGGCCGAGGTGGGCGGATCACCCGCAGTCAGGAATTTGAAACCAGCCTGGCCAAAGCCAGGCGAAAGCGTGTCTCCACTAAAAATACAAAAAATTAACTCAGTGTGGTGGCGTGCACCTGTAGTCCTAGCTACCTGGGAGGATGAGGCAGGAGAACTGACTGAACCTGGGGGCAGAAGTTGCAGTGAGCCAAGACTGCACCACTGCACTCCAGCATGGGTGACAGAGCCAGACTGTGTCTCAAAAATACTTAATTAATTAATTAGAATAAAATAATTCGATCACATCAGCCATCATTTGCCTCTCTTTCTACTCATCTTCTTAAATCTTCCTCTTCTTAGTCCTTGGCGCTCTTCCATTTTTTCCTCTTTCCTTTTGCCTTCTTTCTCACTTTCCATTAACCTATTTAACACATGCTTTCCACTTCTATGAACATAAACTCTATCTATACCCCTCTACAAATTCCTAAACCTAATTTAACTCTGGGGTGTCCCATCAGCACAGGAGTTTTATCAATAAAACTTCTGCCAAATAGAGGAAGGTTTCAAAAAGAAAAGGCTGTTATATAAACTAACTTTTATTATAGCTGGTTTATAGGCCCAAGTCAAATGAAAGAAGCTTATAAAATATATATATATTTTTTTTGAAACGCAGTCTTGCTCTGTTGCCAAGCTGGAGTGCGGTGGCGCGATCTTGGCTCACTGCAACCTCCACCTCCCGGATTCAAGTGATTCCCCTGCCTCAGCCTCCCAAGTAGCTGAGACTACAGGCGTGTGCCACCACGCCTGGCAATTTTTTTTTTTTTTTTTTTTGTATTTTAGTAGAGACGGGGTTTCACCATATTGGCCAGGCTGGTCTCAAACTCCTGACCTCAGGTAATCGGCCCGCCTCAGCCTCCCAAAGTGCTGGGATTACAGGTGTTAGCCACCAGGCCCAGACTAAAAAATCATTTCAATTTAACTTCTATTTGCTCTTATTCATGAAATTACTTAAGATTATATATTAAGCATGTATCAAGGAATAATTGTTAACAATGCTCCTCAAAACATCATAAATGAGACAGGGCTAGCCAAAACCTCACCAATTTAGAAATATTATTGCTTTATTTTTAGTAAAAACTTGCTAAAAATAATTTTCAATGAATTATAATACAATGTACAGAGAACGCTACATAAAAATTTGAAAGAACAGCTTTTTTGTTTTAAAACTTTGAATGAACTGCTCAAAGGCAAGTGGTCTGTGCATGATTTTCTTTATTAAATCATGGCTGCTATGAGCTATTTCTTTTGAATAACTATCCTACATCTCTACTAATTCAGACCTAACAATCAGTATTTGACAGAACTAAGATGATCGCTTTACCTATTCACATAGCTTGTACATCTGGCAAAGAAGGGCCAGATATTGGTTCATATCTAGTAAATTAACTGTGTAAATAAAATGAGTGACTATTTCCAGCAAAACCTCTTGTAAGTTCACAAGTTTCTTACAGAGTAGTATACTATTAAAAGAGTCTCAAGTTCCCAGGAAGTTTTTTTTTTTCTAAGCTAATTTCAGAGCTGTCATTGAATTATTAAGAGTTAATATGCCTCAAACACCATATTAAATTCACTGTCAGATTCTAAAATATTTCAAATACCTTATCCTGTCAACGAGAAATTATCCTTTCAGTAACCACAATTTTAACAAGTACAATAAAGAATCTTAAATTACGAAATGATTAAAACAGATCAGAGGGCTTTGCATTTTTCTTAAGAATGCTCATCTCTGGGTTTTCAAAGAAATATCAAAAAACAAAATATTTAACCTTCATAACTAAACATTTTACATGCCAAAGGGAAGGTAAAAATCAAATGCTCCAACAACAACAAAAAAGAAGTATTGAAGTTTTCAGTAACCTATACAAAGTATAGTAAAATTCATCAAAAGTCAAATCCCTCATGAAATTGAGTACATAATAACAATAAGTATAAAAAGCAAATTACTTCTATAACAAAGCAATAAATTCTCAAGCTTCTCCGACTTAAAACAAAACTACATTACTTACGTAATAGACGGATCCACTTGTTTATAAGCATGGGCAGCACAAGACCCACAGTACGTATATCCTGCATGGCTACAAAACAAAATATTTTTAAACTTAATCATCAGATTCAAAATCAAGATATTCTAGAAAGAAAAACCTTGAAATAAATACAGTACCTATGGTAAACACAACAGAATTGAGAGCATATGTTAAATAACAATGTAGTTAATGATGTGACTTCTAGAAGAAATTAGGAAACACATGATCTATACTGTGTTCCAATTCTAAACTTTAAAAATACTTTGTAATTTTTTTTTGTCTGAAAGACAAATTTAGAGGTGTTCAAGTTTACTTGAAGTTGCTATGTAACACGATTATTGAGGTTGGTTTTTGTTGTTGTTTTTTTTTTTTGAGACAGAGTCTCACTTTGTCACCTAGGCTGCAATACAGTGGTGCAATCATGGCTCACTTCAGCCTCAACCTCCCAGGCTCAAGCAATCCTCCTGCCTCAGCTTCCTCAGTAGCTGAGACCATAGGCGCATGCCACCATTATCTGGCTCATTTGTTATTTTTAACAGACCTGAGTTCTCTGTTGCTGAGGCTGGTCTTGAACTCCTGGGGTCAAGTGATCCTCCTGCCTTGGCCTCAAAAAGCACTGCAATTACAGGCATAAGCCACCGCACTTGGCCTATAACTGAGTTTTTTTATACTCCTCTTCAGTAGCATTAGCAGACTATTACAGAAAAATGATAAACCAACAGGAAGTCAAGTCAGACCAAAACAAATACCCTACAACTATTATAACAACTCACTTCCTTCGAAGACAAAGATAATTATTCTCGTTTTCTCTCCATACTATTTTTCCCTTTCATCCTCTGGTCTCCGAATTCAGTCAATTCTCTTATCACGCACAGAATGACTGTTTCCTGGTCTCAAAAGGTATATGAAAAAATAGAGATATATCCATACAATGGAATACTCTTCAGCAATAAAAAGAAGTGAACTACTGACACTCAAAATAACTATACTTTTTTTTAAGGGGGTAAAAATAAATATACTGAATGGAAGAAAGTCAAACAAAAATAGCTTATTCTGTATGGTTCCATTTAAATAAAATTCTAGAAAATAGCGAGGCATGGTGGCACATGCCTGTAGTCCCAGCTACTGAAGAGGCTGAGGCAGGAGGATTGCTTAAGCCAAGTTCTATATTACAGTGAGCTATGATCACGCCCACACACCAGCCTGGATGACAGAGCGAGATACCACCTCTTTAAAAAAAAAAAAAAAAAAAAAAAAAAAAAAAATTTATATATATATATATATATATATATATATATAGAAAGGGGAAGAGAGGGGAAAAAGAGGTACAGGTACAGAAAGGAAGAATTATAAGCGAACACAAGGAAACTTTTGAGGGTGATGAATATGTTCGTTTTCTTGATTGTGATAGTTTTATCCTCATACATAGGTCAAACATCAAATTGTGTGCTTTAAATGTACACATTGGTATGCCAATCATATCACAACAAGGCTCTTTTTTAAAAATGGTCCTAATCTGAAGTAGCTTAAGATATGAATGGAGAAAATGAGACTCACAGCTGTCTACTACAGCAATACAAGATAGTAGTGGCGTTTAATTGGGAGCTCAATAATATGGAACATACACTAAGTTCACTGAAATCAGTGAAGGCCTTAATTAATCGTAGTCACTCTAGCCCTATACCTCTGGTAAAGGAGCCTATCAAGTTGCCTCAAAACAGCAATATTCTCACAACCCAGTTCTGATCTTAGCCAGAAGGAAATTTAGTAGTCTTTTGGCTCAGCACACTCAGTTTTGATGTTATCCTGTGCTAATTTTGATACTAGAGCCTTACCAGGAGACCTATTTTATTCTGTTACAACTCCAGTCTCTGAGTGCCTGAGACGTCACTGCTCACTGCTTCAGACTGCTAACACCTGGTTCTTGATCTTAACTAGTTCTCTTACCAGTTTATAAGTACGCCATCTTGCCTGTCCATGTGGACCTTAAAACCAGCTGGTCCATCTGGATCTGCCCAGCTCTATCTCAAACCTTAGCGACATCTCAGATGTTCAACACTCCCTAGAAATTTTGCTCTCAGTTGTCACTCATATACCATCCCTTCACTTCCTAATCCTTACACCTTAAACTGCTCCTTCCACCTTAGATCTTCTTTTCAGACTTTAGCTCCTCTTTGTCATTCTTAAATTTAAAGGCTCTAATCCCCAATCCATACTCTGATCTCTAAATCAACCTGTCTTTCTAGTCTGAGTCTCTCCCATTTCTACCAATCCTGTTCCTGACCAAGCTCAGTTCTTAACATCCAGAAAGGCTCTTAGAAACACTGGATTCTTCCCATAACTGCCCTCCACCTGGGTGACTGAGCGAGACTTTATTTCAAAATTAAAAAAAAAAAAAACAAGAAAAGAAAGAATCATTGGATTCTTTATGTATGGCTAGGACAGAAATAATAAGAGTACAAAGGTAAGGACATTAAGGAAGGGCCTAAAGACTAAAGGAAGAACATGAGCAAATGTCCAAGTACATAAGGTAGATGAGAAAATACAAGACAGGCCTGAGTAGAGGAAGAGAGTAATGATAAGCCAGAGTCAGGTAAGGGAATAGGGGCTTGATAAAACAAGATTCTGAAAAATGCTGTGAGCTCTTGGGCAGGGGTGTGACAATATCAAACTGTTATTAGTCTAGTACTGAAAAGCACTGGCACAAACTAGCAATTAGAGGCAGGAGGGTGTTAATAGAAGCTCTCTTGAAAATTGTGGCAGTACTCTACCCAAGCATGAGGTACTAATGTCATGGTCTGGAACTCTATCAGTGCTGGTGGGCAAAGAGAAGCAAATGTGATAGAGTCTAAAAAAGAAAAATTAACAAATCTCAGTGACTGAGCATGGGAGATGATGAAAAGGATAATGATAATAATAGTAACATTTACTGACTACTTCCTATGTATCAGGCATCTTCTATGTACTTCAAAGTATTAAATCATGTAATCCCCACTCCAACCATATGAGGTAGGAATTATTATTATTGTCATTTTACAGATGAAGAAACTAAAACAGAGAGGTTAAGAAACTTGCTCAAGTTCACAGAGATAGCCAGGACCAAGTCAGGACTTCAGCCAGGACTGCCTGGCTCTAGAATACATACTGTTACCCACTATAAGAGATCTTTACATGTTTGAAGGAAGAAAGGAAGGAGTCTGTGGCATAGGAAAAGCAATAAGCCTGAAAACGAGAATTCTTACAGAGCATATACCCTATAAAACTACACGAAAGGATGAAAGTTTTGAAAACACAATTAGCTAAGGTAAATACATGATTAATAATGGAACTCAGATTTCGTGGTTTCAGTCCATTCAGGAGCTGAAGACTTCCAAGTCTGCTTGGAGTAAAGACAAGACAGTTACAGGGAGAGAAGGAGAGTCTTAAGTTGAAAAGGTCTTAACTTCGAGGCTACACTGCAGAGTATTGAAAAAAAAAATCTGTCAGTGCACTGTGCCTCTTTACCCCACCACAAAGAACTCTACTTCATCAAAGGAGGAAGAAGATAATAATCAAAGAAGATAATTTCTTGTAATTTCCTTTATCCTCGCCCAGAAACATGGTAATGAAGAAAATCAGAATAATGACAATCAAATCACACTACAGATGCTCTTTTCCTAATCTTTCTCTCGCTAACAGACCCTGCGATTCTACATGTATGTGGAAACAACGTTTTATCAAGAGATCATTCATAATAAAGGAGGCTTCACTAAAGAAACGGCTAAAGTTTTTTCTTTTGTGCATAACAGCCAAAACAATGAAAATTTAAGCTCTACAGATATTCTAATATGCACTGTAAAAGTGTGTCCCATTTAGTATTTTATTTTATTTTTTATTTTTATTTATTTATTTATTTTTGAGACAGAGTCTCACTCTGTCACCCAGGCTGGAGTGCAGTGGCCACATCTCGGCTCACTGCAACCTCCACCTAGCAGGTTCAAGCGATTCTCCTGCCTCAGCCTCCCGAGTAGCTGGGACTACAGGCATCCGTCACCACACCTGGCTAATTTTTCTATTTTTAGTAGAGACGGGGTTTCACCATATGGGCCAGGTTGGTCTTGAACTCCTGACCTTGTGATCCGCCTGCCTCAGCCTCCCAAAGTGCTGGGATTACAGGCATGAGCCACCGCGCCTGGCCTGTCCCACTTAGTCTTTTAAAAGCTCTTAAAGTCCTTAATGCAAAAAGCCATCCCCACTAACTTTTCCAAGTCACTCTGATTCCCAACCTAACATATCATGAAGGCAAACACAAAATTATACTTAATACCTACAACATTTTATCAAGCTAAAACCTTGCCTCTAAAAATTGATCCTTCTTTTAACAGGGAGTGCTTTTGCTTCTCCCTTTGCTCCTACACAGTAGACCCTTTACGTCGGCAAGTCTAGTTCCTGACACCAGAATTTCTGTTTTTCCCTGTGGAACTGCAATCAAGTGAGGATGCAAAGGCCATTCATTGCTCATGAACATTTACTGGTTATGTGACAGTTTCCCACACAGCAACCTTCCAATGTGGGTATAATTCAAATTCTTACCATAGAAAAATGACCAATTACTACAGGACATGGATTTTCACTTGTTCATTCTGAGACCTTCAGGGTCACAGGTGAACAGTATAAACTGTCAATGCCAAGAGTCTACCACACATTCTATGTAAGGCTTTTCATCAAAGAGGATACAGGGAATAATAAAGGAATACTTAACTAAGATTCAACAAAGTCAGGTCCAATAGTCCTAGTTCTACTTAATAGTAGCAAAATGCAAAATAAAAAGATTGAACTAGATGAAATGAGAAGACTGAACCAGAGGAAATGGGAAGATCTCCTCCAACAATAGGAAAAGTCACAAGATCTACTTAAGCTAAGGTAAGATCTAAAAAGCTAGAAACTAAATTAGAAAACTCCTCTGAACAGATGGGATCAATTTGATTGACAACTGGCCCTATATAATTTGCAAATGCAGCAGCTTCCACATTGCCTCTCTCAATTTAATTTTGCTGTACCTAGTCTTTTATTCTTTTATTTTGTAGGCATTGCTCAATGGCCCTCAAGATTCCTGTTTTGATAAAAAATATCAGTAGATAATTGTGCCCAAAAAAGTCCAAGTTAGATAGTTATTATTCAGAATATTTTATTTTTACATAATAGAATCTCATAAATATTAAATAGTCTGAGCTAAGGAAAGTTATTAAAGTTATTGAAGTCAAATAAGAATGAACTAACCAGAATGTTGCATATCTAGATATTTTTTGTACTGTCATATAGGATTTGAGACTTTGACATGAATATCCTATGGCTTAGTACAAACAATAATTAGAGACAAATAAGCTGTGCATCCTCAGTAACTTGAAGAACTAAATAATGTATGAAGATTGTCTCATGATATCCAGTGGTAGAGCACTGTACAGGTATGCTTCACTATATACAAACTTGTCTTCTATATACACGCTTTTTAGCATTTACATTTTTTAAACTAATTTTTATATTAAAAGTAACACATGCACACAGTAAAAAAGTCAAACAATAAAGGGTACACAATGAAAAGTGGAAGTATCCTTTCTCCCATACTACTCCTACTAGGTTAACTAATATCAAGTCAAAGTCCTACTAGGTTAACTAATATCAAGTATTTTAAATGTATAAGGGGGGCTTCAATATTCAAAGTACCTGTTTTATAGTAAAAAAAATTCATGTTAACCAATTATTTGATTACATTTTTATATTTAATAAGTTTCTTAAGCGATGCATATCTGTACAGCTTCATTCTAGGGGTTGCTGACATATTTCTGCATAGTGCAAGACAAGCAAGAAGATTGGTATGAAGATATCTGGAAGTCATGTAGAAAGGCATTTCAGACTTTTAGCTCATGAGATCATTTCAATATATATCTCTGCGACACATACTGTCTCCTACACATCAAGGTAAGGTAGTTCTGAATTCAACCACAGTACATTTCTAATCAAATTAATTTCTTTTAAATCCTCCAAACGTGCCTGCCTTATGTCACACAGATTAGAATTCATTAAGATAGAACAACAGTTGACAGGTCAATATTTATTCTTTAATGGTATTTATTCTATTTAATCTATATCAATATAAAAATGAACAATATTTTTAAGCACTTTCAAAAACTTGCCATTTTCACACAGCCTAATTAGTTACAACTATATCCAGGTTCTGAGTTTATTTAAGGTTTCCATGATATGATTTATGCCTATAAAGGTAAAAAAAAAAAACTAAGAAGGCCAGGCGCAGTGGCTCACACCTGTAATCCCAGCACTTTGGGAGGCCGAGGCAGGCGGATCACGAGGTCAGGAGATCGAGACCATCCTGGCTAACACGGTGAAACCACGTCTCTACTAAAAATGCAAAAAAAATTAGCTGGGCATGGTGGTGGGCGACTGTAGTCCCAGCTACTCGGGAGGCTGAGGCAGGAGAATGGCGTGAACCCGGCAGGTGGAGCTTGCAGTGAGCTGAGATCGCGCCACTGCACTCCAGCCTGGGTGACAGAGTGAGACTCCGTCCCAAAATAAAAAAATAAAAAATAAAAACTAAGAAAAGCAAGTACTAGAGAGCTAACATTTATAAAACTTAAAGTAAGTTTTTGATTAATGTGATTTTTCTAATTATTAAATAGCATAACCCTTTCATGCCATAGAACAATATTTTTTTTTTTTTTTTTGAGACAGGGTCTCACTCCCATTACCCAGGCTGGGGTGCAGTGGTGCAATCTCAGCTCAGTGCAGCCCCAACCTCCCGGGCTCAAGTGATCCTCTCATCTCAGCTTCTGGAGTAGCTGGGGCTGCAGGCTCATGCCACCACACCCAGCTAATTTTTGTATTTTTTGTAGAGGGGGTTTCGCCATGTTGCACAGGCTAGTCTCAAACTCCTGAGCTCAAGCATCTTCCCACCTCAGGCTCCGAAAGTGCTGGGATTACAAGCATGAGCCACTGCACCCAGTAACAATGAAAGATTTGTTTTCTACCTCAAAAAAAAAAAAAAGATAGCCTTGGAAAGGAAAATAATTACTTCTGGAAACCATATAAGATAAAACTTGGCTATACTTATAAAGTCTTCCTATGTTAACGAAATAGAAATTGCCTATGAATGCACATTTATATATGTTTATTGTATGTTTATATTTATGTTTTTATATGTTTATATGTTTATTATAACATTTATTATACGTTATATACAAAGTCAGCATGTCACAGAAACACACCAAAGCCAAAACTATTTTCAAATATCCATTTTAAAATCTGGGGTAACTTGGAAATCAACATATTTGTAATTTAGGCTAAAACATTCCATTTCCCAGGTCACTCCCAATTATTCCAATTTAAAATTAATTACAAAAAGGAAACAAGTCTGGCTACTTTTTTATGAATACTAAACTCAACTTAATTATATGTTGATTCAACTCAGCTCCCAAATTTAGAACAAGTTTTAACTGGAAAGGTAGCATACCATAATAGTCAAATACCAGCAAATTGATGAAATGAGAATGTCTCTCGTGAGTTACTATAAAGAAATTATTATTAATCCATTGTTTCTCACCTAATCAAGGATCCCTCTTAGGTAAATGTCCCCTCTTATCCCTGCATCAATTTTTCTTCCCCTACTGACTCACTTCATATACAAACACTTTAAAATCTCACAAATGAAATAAAAATCCTCCTTACCATATAGATACTATCCTATTTCTCTGTTTTACAGCAAAATTCCTCAAAAAACTATCTATACTTACGTCTTCATCGCCCTCACCTCTCATTCTTTCCTAAACCTACTCCAATAATACTTTCATTTCCACCACCCCACAGAAACTTTTCTTCTCAAGGTCACCAGTGATTTCCACATTGCCAAATCCAATTATCAATCCTCAGTCCTCACTGGCAGCATTTGATACAGCTGATCACTTTTTCCCCCGACACATTTTTCATCCTTTGGCCTCTCAGAGACATCACTCACTCTTGATTTTCCTCCTTCCTCACTTATTCTCCCTTCATTATCTCCTTTGCAAATGTTCATCTTTATTCTAGCCTCTAAAAAGGTGGCTTATCCAAGGGGCTAGTCCTTGAAACTCTTCTCCTGTTTATCTTTATTTTATTCCCTAGGCAACCATACCCTCTGTGATTATATATACTAATAAAGCCTTTATTTCTATCTCAAGTCTGGTGCCTCTTCTTTGTACTCCAGATTCATATAGCCAGCTGCCCATTCTAAATCTCCATTTGGATATCTAATAAGCACCTCAACATTAACAAGATCAAAACCAAAAACCTAGATTCTATACGAACACTTCAAAATCTACTCCATACTTCCACTTGTCTTCCCCTTATCAGTATAAAGGTAATTCCATCCTTCTAGTTTCACAGGACAAAACATAAGAATCATTCAGTCATGATATTTTAAAACCATGTCTTAAAAATATATTTAAAGACAGGGTATCTCACTGTTGCCCAAGCGGGAGTACAGTGGTGCAAACAGACCATAGCTCACTGTAGCCTCCCCCTGGGCTCAAGGGATCCTCCTCCCTCCATCTACCAAGTAGCTAGGACTACAGTTGCATCCCATCACATCCAGCTAATTTTTGTAGAGATGGAGTCTTGTTTTGTTGCCCATGCTGATCTCAAACTCCTGGCCTCAAGCAATCCTCCTGCTTAGGCCTCCCAAAGGGCTGGGATTACAGGCGTGAGTCACTGCCCCTAGCCAAGTGTCATTCTTGACTCTTCTTCTCTCTATCTTGTTGGTCCAACCTTTAAAACATATCCAGAATACACTACTTCTCATCATCTCTGCCTCAAGCCCCCAATCCAAGCCACTATGTCATCTCTTTTCTATAATTATAATTGTAAAATAAGCCTCCTAAACTGGACTCCCTGTTCCCACATAATATAATATCCATACAGCAGCAAGAGTAATTCTTTTCAAACCTAAGTCAGATCATGTCATTCTACTGCTCAAAACTTGTCATGACTTGCCATATCACTCAGAATAAAAACCAAAGTCCTTATGACTACAAAGCCTCTTCATGATCTAGCCCTCCGCTGCCTATCTCATCTACCACTCTTCCCCTTGTACTGCCACTCCAGCTGCACTGGCCTCCTTGCTTCTCCTCAAACACACTAAGCATACTCTTGTTCCAGAGCCTTTGTGCTCACTGTTCCTCAACCTGAAACCCTCTTCCCTCAGCTATCTGCACAGCTTGCTCTCTCACATCATTCAGACTAAAATGTTACCTTACCAGGGAGTCCTTTTCTTACTAATCCTATATAAAACAGTAACACCCTACCCATACTGTCACTCTCAATCCTCTATCTGCTTTATTTTTCTTCTTAGCACCCATCAGCACCTGACATAGAATATAATTATTTGTTTACTGCCTGTCTTCCCTAGTACCAAAATGCTAGTACCACAAGAGTGGCAACTTTGATTTACTCAAAATGCAGCACAAAGAAGAGCACTTGGCCTTTAGCCTGGTATGTAAATGACTAAATAAATAGTAGTAAGTCATTTGCTGTAAGTTTTATAAAGATTAGTTCATTTAATCTTTTGTTAAAAGCGTTAAGGAAATACTATTATTATTCCAGCTTTACCAATGAGGAGCTGAAATCCCAACAGATAAAAAAGTTGCATGTCACATAGCTTGTAAGTAGGAGTCAGGCTCCTGCACCCATTAAATGAGATCAAGTTAGATATACAAATAAGGCATTTAACAAAATATTTGGTATATAAAATGCCTACCATTAATAGTAGGCTCTTTATGTGTATTTACTATTTGCTCATTTAATTCTGATATTGATTAAAAACGGTTATTATATATTGTCATCACTATTTACTATTTATCAGGGCATGAACCTTAACCCAATAGAAGTCACAAACAACAACATGCTATGAGACAAATGGCACAGAGTAAACCTTCACTCTTCTCAGAAAAAATGTTACCATGTGTTTCAAACAATATGTTGTGAAGGTTAGCACTGGAAACCAAATCAAAATTAACTGAATTCATATCATACACAGACACACATCATTAACTGTGTATGTGCTAGCTTGCAGTTCTAAAAAGCAAACTCTAAAATCCAAAGACAAAATAATCAGATTTTCTCAATTAAAAAAAGACACAATCTACTCCTCCTCAAAAATTAAGTTGCTATTCCATGTTGCACCATACTATGCTTAATATATCTTTTTCATTATAAATTAAAAATCATCGGGATTAAATTAGATCTCTTTAATATTTAAAATAGAACTTATTCATTTATAGCAATGGCTACCAAAATTGGCAAGTTTACCTGATGTAAAAAACACTTTTCTTTAAAAGTCAGTTTTATTATCAAAAATACATTTCGAAATTACTCTATCTGAGGAAATAAAGTAGCCAATTCTTTTTTTTTCTTTTTTTGAGATAGGGCCTCACTGTCACCCAGGCTGGAGTGCAGTGGCATGATCTGGCTCACTACAACCTCCACCTCCCAAGCTTAAGCGACCCCCGACGTCAGAACCCCACCACTGCCACCCCCAGTAGCTTAGCTGGGACTACAAGCGTACCATCACACCCAGCTAATTTTTGTATTTTTAGTAGAGATGGAGTCTCACCATGTTGCCCAGGCTGGTCTCAAACTCCTGGGCTCAAGCAATCCTCCCACGTTGGCCTCTCAAAGTGCTGGAATTACAGGTGTGAGCCACCACACGCAGCCAAAGTAGCCAATTCTTTTATCCTTAAGTTACAGTGAAAACCCACAAGAATTGTGAAAATTACTGAATACAATTTCTTCAGCTCAGTATAGACTTCAGTTTTTAATTTTTAGTTCAATCTGTAGATACTCATTTACTAATAATAAACATACAAAAAAGATTTTAAGTAGACTCTTAAAACTTACAGTGCAGGCCAGGCGTGAGCGAGACCGAGGCAGGTGGATCATTTGAGGTCGGCAGTTTAAGACCAGCCTGGCCAACATGGTAAAACTCCGTCTCTACTAAAAATACAAAAATTGGCCAGGTGTGGTGGCACACGCCTGTAGTCCCAACTGCTCAGGAGGTTGAGGCAGGAGAGTCGCTTGAACCTGGGAGGCGGAGGTTGCAGTGAGCCGAGACCATGCCACTGTACTTCAGCCTGGGCGACACAGGGAGACTCCTTCTCAAAAAACAAAACAAAAACAAAAACAAAAAAGACTTACGGGGCAATAATGGCTCTAGCAGGTCTTTTTGTAGACTGTACTTGTGAAAGCCAACCTTCTAGCTGTGCATTCAGCTGCGGTCCTATAAAAAGACAAAGACAAAATTAGAGTCAGCAAAGCAATGTACTACAGATAAACATATGTGGCATAAAGCCCTCACTGAACTTATGTGGGACTAAACTAGCTTAATGCGCAATAGGATCATCAGTTGGGATGTTAATGTTTGAATTTACCAACTACACAGTCTCTAACAAGCCATATGATAAGGCCAAATTCTGACTAAACAAAATTTGCTTTTATCGATTTACTTATTTACAGCTGTCTTCATTTCAGAGCAACACAATGTGATTTACAAGTTGAGGCAATATTTAAACAAAATAAAACAGGAAGCAGAAACTCTCAGTGTATGAAGAGGAAATAATTGAATATGTTATAGAGCACCAAAATCTGCTCTACAGATTAATCACTGAAATGACATCCACAGAAGGTAATCACTTCCACACCCAATGATCTTTTCTTCCATCCCACTCCAGTCCCCTATTCTCATAATGAAATATCGATAACCAGTAACTACGCTACCTTAAAAATCTCAGTTTCAAGCATCTCAGCTTCTTTACTCAATATACTAATTTTTCCAGTTCACTACCAGAAACCTGTTAACTCCAACAGACCCTACAAATTTTTCCACTGTCCTTCGTCTCTACTTCTTACCTAGTCTGAGACTCAAAAATCCATCATCACAGTCATTTCCTTGCTGTGGCCTCACTCCTCTGCTCCTCTCTCCCTCCATCACAGTCAAAACATAGTTTAAAACCAACTTTCCACTTAACTCAGTACTTTTACCTGAATAGCTGAATGAGACTAAAGAGAAATACAACCATATAAACTTTAAAATAATAACCATAAATTTCAGCAGACCCCTAAAATGCTCAGAAATCCCATCACATTAACGTAGTGAATCTGCTCTCCTATCTTTAAGATAGAGAATTAACTCATACCTTCTCTTTTCACCTTAAGCCTCAATACTTCCTTCATCCCCTTATCACTTCCAGAAGATAATGATCAATGCTTTTCATTTTGTCAAGGAAAAACAATCAGAAGTTGGCCCAAGACTTTCCCAGTTTTAGCACTGGAAGTGCTGCATTCTGAGAAACTGCTAAATCACAAGCAAACCTGGATGTTGGTCACCCTAAATTGAGAAGATAACTACTTCATCTTCCCACCACTTATTCTGCTTTCCCTCGTATTTCAACAAATTGTCCTTGTTCCTATCAAGAGCCAAACGGTATTTCTGTACTGGATCCCATTATTTTTTTCTTTCTCAAGGATTCTGCTCCCATAACTATTATAGGTCTCCTATACCAATTCTTCCCTTTTTTACTTTATCATTATTATTAGCATGCAAATGTGTCATACTAACACTGATTAATTTCCCTTCAACTACCCCTCCATTTCTTTGGTCCCCTTTACAACAAATTTTCTTGAAGAGTTGTCCTCATTTCCTTCCACTGCTTGCCATCCATTCTTTCTTTTAAAACTTTTAATCATTAAATATTTAAACATTACAAAAGAATCTAGGTAATAATATAACAAACACACACATACCCACTGCCTAAATAAATTAAATCTTAACATTCTACCTTATTTACTTAAGATTTTCCTTGGTTAAGAAATAAATGAATACCTTGCTGATCCCTTTGTACATCTCCCTCCTTAGAGGTAACCACTTCCTGATTTTGGTGTTTATCATTCTATTCTACTTTCACTGTATATGTATCAATAAACAATAAGTGGTATTGTTCTGCATGTTTTCAAATGTTGTATCAATATACTGTACACAACCTTCTGCAACTTGCTTTAGTAATTCAACATTGTTTTGAAAATTACTCAAGTTGATATATGTTGCCCTAAATCATTCATTTGCAGGGCTGTATAGTACTGCACTATACGAATATAGCAAAATTTATCTATTCACTTTCCTACTTACAAATACTTTAGTTGTTGCCAATGTTTCACTATTAATACATAATGCTACAAGTATCCTATGAACATATGTTAACAGTTTCTCTAAAAGTAAAAGTGCTGAATCAGAGGGTGTACTCTTCTTCAACTTGACTACAGCATTGCTAACTTGCCCACTAAGGTAGCTGGATCAACTTATCCATCAGTATACAGGCAAATTAAAATTTAAAATAAGAGGCCTAATTCTACCTGTACTCCCCGACCCCCTTTTCTTAGAGGATTTTCTTTCAAAACCTGGTAAATTCTTTCTCTGCCTGCTTAGAGATGTATGTAAATCTTTGTAAAACCCTAGCCAGCAGCCCAAAACTGCCTTTCTCAAGAACCTTATAACCATCTCTTTCAAATGAGATCATCAAGAGAGACGGCACCCTTATCTCCCAGTTTCTGTGGGAGGACAGGGTGCCTAACTTTGGCAGGCCATCTAGTTCCAAGTTGTAAAATTACATCCTGTCATAAAGATATGAGTTCATTTTTCCTTTAGAAAAAGCCAATTTGTTCACACACAAGGTTGCTCCAATTACCAAGTGAATTTAGGACAAACTATGTGTGACAAATGATGGTATCAAGTCCTCTTACTTGAACACTATTTACTATTTATCTTGAGAACATGTATGTAATGGGTTACATCCACTTGGCTAGATGTAAGGGTGAGCATTCTTTTGGTCTTTGCAATCTTTTAGCAGATTGCTTGTGATACACGTGTCATTCTGGTTTAATACTTATTAAAAACTGAAATTGTTTCCTTTTTCTTCTACCTTTGAAGAGATGTTTTCTGGGGGAAGCAGATTTTGGTTTTAATTGCATTTCATCATTGCTAACACAAGTAATAGTTAAAGGTTCACATTCCCCTACGTCGTTCCCAATATTTGATATTGTCAGAATTTTTCATTTTTGTCAATCTGGATATGAAATGGTATATATTCCTTGTTTTTATTTTGTATTTGTGTTTCAATAACATGCACTGAAATTAAGCATCTACTGTCCTTCTGTATATATTTATAATGCTACACATAAACAGGTCAAGTTTAAAATGGACAGTAAATTTGTAAATTCCCAAAGTACAAAAAAAAAGTCTGACTCAGTGATTAAACAATGGTGTTCATCTTAAAATTTGAATTTAAGAACAGTTACCAAAAAACTTATACAAAGTAATTTCATTATTAACTTAAGGAAAAATAAGTTACGTGTCACATAATGACGTTTCGGTCAACAATGAACTGCATATTCCATAGTGATCCAATAAGATGACAACACCGGGCCAGGCGCGGTGGCTCATGCCTGTAATCCCAGCACTTTGGGAGGCCAACACAGGTGGATCACCTGAGCTCAGTAGATCAAGACCACCCTGGCCAACATGGTGACACCCCATCTCTACTAAAAATACAAAAAATTAACCAGGCATGGTGGGCCACGCCTGCAGTCCCAGCTACTTGGGAGGCTGAGGCACAGGAATCACTTGAGCCCGGGAGGCAGAGGTTGCAGAGATCACGCCCCTGAAGAGAGTGAGACTCCATTGCAAAAAAAAGAAAAACTGCAATACTGTATTTTTACTCTACCTTTTCCCTTTTCTATGTTTACATACACAAATATCATTTTGTTACAACTGCCTGTAGTATTCCATACAGTAACATGCTGTATAGGTCTGTAGCCTAGGAACAACAGGCTATACCATCTAGCCTTGGTGTATAGTAGGCTATACCATCTAGGTTGGCAAATACACTCTTATGATGCTCAGACAACAACGAAATGGCCTAACCACCATTTCTCGAGTGCATCCCTGTGATTAAGTAACACGACTGTATAACCCTAAAAACGTTCACAACACAGGAAGTTTACAGAACCAATGTGAAAAACAGATAAAAGCAAAGAAAATATACCTGAATTCATCCACCCCACTGCCAACAACCTCACTGTTTTTAAGCAGTAAACCAAGCTTTCATATGGCTACTTCTGTAAAAAGACCAATTTCTTCCCAAGGACGCTAAGGTAAGAGCCAAACTCCAAGTTTCTCACTTATCTTTGAATAAGATAATTAAGCATACCTATTTATTACGTATGATTGCTTAATTATCTATAAAGTGTCAAGTAAAAAGGTGAATCTGAGTTCTTTCACAGAGACTAGCCAATACTTGCCAATATGGTATCCTTGATACATGAAGGATTTAGAAATACGTGCTTTGATTTTCAAATACCACTGGGTTTGAAGAAATACTGATAAATGGAAAAAGAAAAAGCATTGCTAAATCCTAGCAAAACTACTTAATGTTTGTGTGATCTTGCCCTTAAGAGGGATAAATAGGCATTTACTTTTTTGGATACAACAGTAAAAGTAGGTTCCCAAAGAATTAAGCTGAGGTATCTCCTCAAGAAATAGATAATAAACAATGAGCTGTAGGAAATACAGTAACACTTCTATTTAAATCCCACTTGACTCAAAGAATATTTTCCAAGTAAGTTTATTTGCATGGTGACAAAACCAGACACTAAATACGCACACACACACACACCTGCTTTTCAAGAATTCCCTTGCAACTATTAACAGAATCATTCTAAAATAAGCTAATGAACTAAGCCAAATTGGTTTTCTATACTTCTCTATCGCTGTTTAGCCTGCTCCTCCTTACTCTAGACAAAAGTCATGTGTTCTCTTTTCAAATTTAGTGAGTATGAATCACCTGAGAATCTTGTTGAAATGCTGATTCTGATCCTACAGTTATACAGTAGGACTGAGATTCTGCATTTCTAACATGCTTCTCAGGTGATAGCAATGTTGCTGGCCTATAGGCTATACTCCAGCAACCTGTCTAGATCAACAGTTGTCATGGAATTCGCAAATCCATATGTATACAAAGTTTCCTCTAGAGATAAAATGAAGGTGTAGATAAAGAAAAGATCTATTTTAGATACCAGGACAAGCTGGTAAGAGAAACATTTCTCCACAAGGGAGCCTTCTAGTGTTGCTGAAACTATTCTACATATGTAATTTAAAGAATGACCAACTGCCACAACTTTTTCCATTTTTTTTATAGGTAATACCTGCCTATTAGCACAATAAACTCAATCCCACATGGTTGGGTATAAGGTAACAAGAAGCAACACATAAAAAGCCAAATAAAAGTAGGCCGTTGGCACCCAGTATTTCATTATTAATCATTCTGTGAAATATGTTCAAATCAAACTAAGAAATAAACTGATCTATCGTGAGAAATCTATAAATAATAAGATGAATAAGCCAGAGTGTTTTAAACAGCGGTTCCTGGATCTCTGATTTTCACAGGCCAATAAAATTACAAAAGAGGGCACAGTGGCTCACACTTGTAATACCAGCATTTTGGGAGGCCAAAGCGGGTAGATCATTTGAGGTCAGCAGATTGAGATCAGCTTGGCCAACGTGCCGAAACCCCGTCTCTACTAAAAATACAAAATTTAGCCAGGCGTAGTGGTGCACACCTGTAGTCCCAGCTACTTGGAAGGCTGAGGCAGGATTTTGAGATAATCTAAATCCTTTAAACTGAATAAATTAACCACATTTCATCAACTTCAAAATGCCATCAATAACCAGAATACACAAGGAGCTCAAACAACTCCACAGGAAAAACCCTAATAATTGTATCAAAAATGGGCAAAAATCTTAATAGACATTTCTCAAAAGAAGATATACAATGGCAAACAGGCATATGAAAAGGTGCTCAACATCACCGATGATCACAGAATGCAAATCAAAACTACAATGAGATATCATCTCACCCCAGTTAAAATGGCTTGTACCCAAAAGACAGGCAGTTAACAAATGCTGGCAAAGAGATGGAAAAAAGGGAGCCCTTATACACTGTTGGTGGGAATCTAAATTAGTACAACCACTATGGAGAACAGTTTGGAGGCTCCTCAAAAAATTGAAAATTGAGCTACCATAGGATCCAGCAATTTTCCTGCTGGGTATTTACCCAAAAGAAAGGAAATCACTATATTGAAGGGATACCTGCACTCCTATGGTTGTTGCAGCACAGTTTACAATAGCTAAGATTGGATGCATCCTAAGTGTCCATCAACAGATGAATGGATAAAGAAACAGTGGTACATACACATAAGCCATAAAAAAGAATGAGATCCAGTCATCTGCAATAACATGGATAGAATTGGAGATCATTATGTTAAGTGAAATAAGCCAGGCACCAGAAAGACAAACAATGCATGTTCTCATTTATTTGTGGGATCTAAAAAAAAACAATGGAACTCATGGACATAGTAGAAGGATGGTTACCAGAGGCTGGGAAGAGTATTGGAGGGTTGGATAGGAGGTGGAGATGGTTAATGGGTACAAAAAAAAAAAAAAAAAAAACCAGAAAGAAGGAACAGGACCTACTGTTTGATAGCACAATAGGTTAGCTACAGTCAGTAACTTAATCGCTCATTTTAAAATAATTTAGAGTATGATTGGATTCTTTGTAACTCAAAGGATAAATGATTGAGGGGATGGATACCCCATTCCCTTGCAACTATTAGCAGAACCATAATGTGCTTATTTCATATTGCATGCCTGTATCAAAACATCTCATGTACCTCCCATAAATATATATACCTGCTATGTACCCGCAAAAAATAAAAATTAAAAATTAAAAAGATACCATCAATATTTGGGTGCACCATTATTTTAAGTATCACTAAGAAGGAAAAAAACCTCTCTCAAACTATGACATATGGTTTCTATTGCTTAGAATTATGTCATTTTACACTTATTGGCAGAGTTCTTTTAAACTTGTTCAGACATATATTATTGCCGGGCGCAGTGGCTCACGCCTGTAATCCCAACACTTTGGGAAGCCACGGCAGATGGATCACCTGAGGTCAGGAGTTTGAGACCAGCCTGGCCAACATGGCAAAACCCTGTCTCTACCAAAAATACAAAAAGCAGCTGAGCATGATGACAGGTGCCTGTAATTCCAGCTACTCAGGAGGCTGAGGCAGGAGAATCTCTTGAACCTGGAAGGCAGAGGTTGCAGTGAGCAGAGATCACAGCACTGAACTCCAGCCTGGGCAGCAGAGCAAGACTCCGTCAAAAAAAAAAAACAAAAAAAAACCTATTAATGAACAAGCAATTAAAAGGTATTTCTTTGGCTGGGCACAGTGGCTCACACCTGTAATCCCAGCACTTTAGGATGCCCAGGCAAGCAGATCACTTGAGGTCAGGAATTTGAGACCAGCCTGGCCAACATGGTGAAACCCCATCTCTACTAAAAACACAAGAAAAAACTAGCCAGGCATGGTGGCGCACACCTGTAATCCCAGATTTGGGAGGCTGAGGCAC